>NC_000004.12:97103199-97406229 GCF_000001405.40 Homo sapiens
GCAAAGTACTGAAGCTCCCTAAGCCTTTCCTCTCATCTCTCCAAATGGGGCTGTGGTGAATATTAAGTGCAATCGAATGTATAAAATTTCATTTTCTTTGTGCTATTATTGCTACCCTGGTTTCTGCCAGACTCCAGATGAAAGCAGCAGAGGACAGAGGACATTCTCAGGAAAGACTAGGGAAAGAGCTGGAGGACAAACAGGAGGCTCTCTTACCTCAAATTGCAAGTCATGATAAAAATAGTAAAGAGGAAGATAGCATTTTAGTGACTGTTGGAGGCACATGATCCAGCATGTGTGAATAGCAGTGGCTGGTATGGAGTTAGAGCATAGGCAATAAACCAGCCTCCTGGAAAGGTCGTGAATGTGGAGTCCAAGGAGGGAATTAAGAGTATGGCCTTAAAAGAAAGACACTTAGGTATACCTAGACCACAATTGGGCTCTGGAATATTGTTATATTAGGTTTACTCTAAACCTATTTAAACCATAGTCTCTGACTCTATCTACTTTAATTGGGCAAATAGGCTGTGGAACATATTCATTATTCGCCATTCTTTTTCTTCCCACTGCAAAACAAAGTTTGTGATACCCAAGAAAACTCAAAACATTTATGAAGCCTTTTATTTTACAATAACAATTGGTACTTAAAAATAAACATTGATATTTTAAATACAAATGTAATTTATCCTGATATATTTCAATTAGACAAATCTATCTATGTACTAATGACTAGATTATTTTTAGTACTATATTTTCATAAATATTTACTTTGGTGCTAGAATTTATTTCACGGGGTATCCTAGACACAACTGAGATAAAATTTTGTTAAAATTTTTCAATATGTTGAACAAACTGATAATATACAGTAATATACAGGAATAGAAAAGAAGAATTATTATTTTTTTTAACAGTTCTTTCTTACAATATCTCAATTTCTGGCAGTTAGGACAGGAGTGAGTCAAAATAGCTTTTTAAATACCTAAGATATGAATTAGCTGGACGTGATATCACATGCCTATAATCCCAGCTGCTCAGGAAGCTGAGGCAGGAGAATCGCTTGAATCCAGGCAGAGGCTGTAGTGAGCTGAGATAGTGCTACTGCACTCCAGCCTGGGTGACAGAGCAAGACTCTGTAAAATAATAATAATAATAATAATAATATATGGCATAGTTTTCTAATTCCTGACAGAGTTCTCTTTAGGTGTGGACCTGTCATGTATGCAACAGTATTCAGAAATCTAAAACAAGCACCAAGTTTAGAGATGTTACAAATCTCAGCATCTTTAAATGGTAAGACATAAGCTGATGAAGGAAAGAGTGCAGACATGATGATGCTAGAATCAAATGTCTCAAGGTCGATTTAAATAACCAATTACATTGTGTTCAAATGGGTTACACAGGTTTAAGTAGTATTAATGAAACAAATTCAGCAGTACTTTTAAAATCACTCCTATGCCTAGCATCTAACCACTTTAAATCTGTCCTTTCTTACTTAGCTGCTGTGGCGTATCCTTCAGACCATAAAGCTCTTTTCACTTTTCCCAAGGCTCACATTTCATCTGATGCTTTTCACTGCATTGCTTAAGAAGGCTAAATTTGCCATGTTAAACTTAATTCACATTTAAATACTTACACAAATAAAGTTATAAAAATGATTCATTTCACGATCTTGACATTTTTGACCAAACTCAGGAAGCTAAGGATAGACAGTACTGCAGTGTTGAAGAGCAATTAGCAATTAGGAATATTTTAACTGAAAGAAAATCACACAGTATCCTATTTCTTTAAAATGATTTCCCCATTAAAGGGAGGAGAATAAAACCTGACATTGGATAGTAAAAGTCATTAAAAGAAACGTAATACAATTGCAAATAGGAAAAAGTACTGCCAGAAAGAAAATGGTGTGACTAAGATGCCTGCAACTGTGGTTAGCAGTGAAGAACTATAGCACTTTGAACAGTAAATCACATTTACTGCAATATTGGAATGTAGAGTTTTTTCCTCAAAAATATTCTGCCTCCTTTCCTATGCATAAGTGATCCTGGCCATAACTGATCATTATGAATAACCAACCCGACATTTGAGGCATTGATGGAAAATTGATGGCATTCATTTTTATGATTTCTTATTCTATAAACATCAAGTAATACCACATAGTTTAGAAACTGGGTACTTTCTTAAAATTAATGAACCTCTTTAATTCTTCCAAACACAATGGTTACTATCTAACACAATAGTAAAATTTCCATTTCCAAGCCTCTAACTGAGCTCATGTAGTGGAGAGTATATTTTATGAATTGATTCAAAGCAACTCCTTTAGGCTCTCACTAAGTAGGTACAGTACAAAGTGATACCGGCCCTATGAGTCAGTTAGTCTTACTGCAGTTAAATATATACAAAGAGAAAGAAAACCATGCAGCATCCTAGAATCTGGGCTTAAAATCAATTTGTGTTGAGAACAAAAATGTCTCCTTTATAAATACTTATAAAATAGGATTTCAGATTATATGTTCAGCATTGAATGATGTATATTATTCTTATTAATGTTTCATAAACATATGTATAAAAACAATATGCTTCACTTTGCTTCTAAGTATTAAGTAGAATTATTGCAGCATCTGCTTCCAATGGTTGAGTGCACAAGCTATTCATGCCTTGTCATAAATTCCATGATGCATTAAGATGTCATTAAATGTACCTTCTGTGGTTGTCTCCTAATTTACATACCTTGTAAATCATCAGGTAAAAATCAAGAGAGCTGAGGAATAATCTCCTATGCTCTTCCCTTCTGCCACGAACTCAGTGCCATTCATAATCTTCATCCTAAACTGTATCCATCTCAAATGCTTCTTTGAGACTATGCCTCGGAACACTTGGTAATGTATTTAATAAAAACAATTATTAATGGTTTCTAAATGGTGTTTATGAGTATAGAAACAAACTTAGGGAGTAGGCTAGCAGAGTATACAGTTAACAATGCCAGTTAAGTGTGGAGTAAAAAAGGTCACCTTTTCAAAGAGCCAGCAAGAAGAAATTGTAAGAAAACTGGGATTAACAGTGTCTCTTTTCTCTCAGTCTTGTTTTTAATGCCCTCACCATATGGTTCCTAGAGCACAGAATCTCTGTATTAAACAAAGCTTAGAGCTCACCTGGTACAACTTCCACCTACTGCAGGATTCCCATAGATTAGTGTCCATCTGTTGCCTGAGCACATCCAGAAATGAGAAGCCCACAATTTTGTAAGAAAGTCCATCCAATTTGTCATTTGGATTAACTTGCTTTTCAGTTCTGGAAGGAAAACCCTTATTTAACTTATGATGCCTTGTTTTCTCCTGTTTCACAATAATGAACAGTGGTTATTTTCCTTCAGTTTTCAGTGGCCAGACTGTAGATTTCTCATGTTAAGCATCACTCCTTTGTTAAAGGACAATGTCATTGCAATATCATTCCTCTGATTTCTGTTACCTAAGGCATTTAGCCCAGAAGCTGCTAATAAAACTAACATCATTTCCACCTGCCTGACTAAGTTACAATTGTAAGGATGCTGGGCAATTTTGACTGGGAAGAGTACATTTGCATTTTTAGTAAACTAAACTTAGAACATTAATAATGTTTTTTCTATTGTAGAGAAAGATAGGAATTTTAATGTTGACTATTGCATTTTGATGAAGTTTTGATGAGATTAATATCCAAAAGAAATCTAACATAAAAGATTTTTAGGACAATGTCATTGAGAATGGATAAATATGTATGAATTTTGTATCCAAGACCTTAACAAGAGGAGAATAATGGGGAATAAGATAGGAAGCATCAAGTCATTATTGAGCAATACATGAATCTGAAATGAATCATAATTTTGCCAGATTAAATCAATTTGTTGCATTTTGAATTTATTTCTTCCAGAAGTTTTTTAATAAATAAAATAACCTTTTATTTCTAGATCAGATTTTCTTTTTCATATGTTATGTGACATGTGACTTACAGATTGTAACAATTCCAACCACTAAAACCAGAGGTCACTTGTCATAGGTTTTAGAAGATGAACCTCTAAAGCTTTGTCTTAGAGAGGAGAGGAAGACATGGTTACCAAATGATAGACAGTTTTTAAAACACTGTGACATATAGAAGAGACCTCAGCTCCTTGTTTTCCTTGTTTTTTTTTTTTTTTTTTTTTTTTTTTTTTTTTTGCTCAAAATACATACATTGGTCTTTGCAACAGGGACTTCTTGAACTGCTGTTGAAAGGAGGATAGTGAGAAATGGGAATTTCTTGCAGTATCTAATCCGTATTAAAAGCACCAAGTTTCCTTTTGTTTCTGTCCCTCAGAAAAACACTAGTGTCCCAAGGAATCAAGGGAAGGGAAGACAATGCATATGGGGTAGAGAGGTCAGCCATAGGAGAGCAGAGAAAGTTGTTTAATTTTAAAATGTATTAAAATATTGTGCACTGCTTTAATAGAGCATTTTGCAACATGTTTTTCTTTTGAGGTGCACTACAGGCAATTCCAAGAAGCAAGTATCAAGAGAAAAATACAGGCAGCAGAAACAAATCGAAGTGTACCAGCTTCTCTGACATTTTTCTCCTCTTCCATCTGTGAGGTTTCTTTGGGCACACCAGGTCTAGAAAACCAATTTTAAATGTCACTCTCATCAGAACACAATCATATTTTCTATCAAATGGAAAAGCAGATTCATTCTCAATAATAACACGTATACAAGATTAAACCTGTGTTAACTCAGCTTCTCAGAAGGAATTAAGATCCTGTTAATGTCAGAGAAAACAAGCACACACTTCCCACATGTTATGATTTAGAAACTAAATTTTCCTTGTATCCTAATCAGTGACAATTATTTAGAAATCTCGGAAATGAGTTTACGTAGACAGTATAAGGCTGGAAAGCTAATATAAAAAAGTTCACAGAGAGAAAAAACTTTTTTTAGATTTCAAAGTCATATAAGTTTTTGTATGGTGGATTTCACAGAACAAATATTAAAGATATTTGCAGATTACACCAGGCCTTTGAGTCAATCTCAGATTTACATAAATTGAAAAATAGAAAACATCTTTAAAATCACCCATCTTTGCCCTAGTCATCAGAAAAGAAAATTGAGACTTCCTTACCTTGCTCTTATCCAAGTGAAACTGGACACTTGGTAGTAGAAATAGGACCAAAGCTCTTGGCTCTCATTTTTCACTCAGTGTTTTTTCTTTTACACAACATACTGAAAAGTCCAACAGCTTTGCATTCCCTTTTTGTAACTTTAACCATGTGACTCCTGAGTACCAGAAATCATAATATTTCAAAATAATGATATATATCATGTTTTGCTTTCTATATATACACTTTACTAGGCAATTTGGATTCATTTATTCTAACTTATTTGAGTAAAGTTTGATTGAAAACAAACCTTTTACACAAGCTTAGAAAATGACTCATGAGTCTAAAGTTACAGAGACTAATTTCAGGAACAGTAGTAGTTAGAAAATTCTAACCTCCTTGTTCCATTTCTCCATTCTTCATTTCTGTTTTTCTTTTATATTAAACCTGTTTTACCCCATTCTATCTCTCTCTCGAGAAGTTCTTAGCCTCATCTTTCTAGAAATTTGACCAGACAAGAGGGTTCGAGTAGTCATAGACCCATCAATCCACTGATACCTCCAAAGACTAAAACCAAATTCCTGAAGAACCTCTTCCTCTTCCTCATCTTTCTTCTTCCTCTTTCTTTTTATCCTCCTTCGTTTCTCTCTCTCTCATTTTTAATTGATAAGTAAGATAATCTGATAGTCTTCCTTTCATTAATTACAATAAACTTTTTTGAAATTCTATACAATTCAACTGATATCTATCTTCTAAACACACACACACACAGAGAGAGAGATAGAGAAAGAAAGAGAGAGAGAAACATACATTGTTTGCCTAACAAAATAGTGAATTCCTTAAGGTCAGGTGCCACGTTTTATGCTTCTTTTATATCCTCCAGAACACTGAACACACAATTGATAATAAATAATATGATTGATTGAACTGTCCATGCTTGCCATGAATTTTGATGCAGTCTAAGACAGTTTCCCTGAATTACTCCCTCAATGATTAGCCATGATTGTCTTCAGTTTCTGACATTCAGAAGTATGTGACAAATTCCACTCTTTTCGCAACTTAATGTATTCAGATGGGAAAGGATTTGAAACTTAGTTTCCAATGATGGTAAGAGTCATTCCCTTTGTATCCAGAGAATATTGTATAATGGAAAAATATACTAGAGTTCCGTAGTCTAATTTCACTTCTTTCTCTAATAATGTAACCATGGGGATATTACTGAAACGCTCTGGTTTCAATTTCTTCATCAAATGCCCAGATTATAAAATTGTAGAAGAATATGGAAGAAGGCAAAGTAGACAAGAAGCTTACAAACTGTGTTCAGTCCATTCTGAGGTCCCTGTGGTACTTGGACCTTTCTGAGAGAACTTAATTAGTTGCTTAGGGAGAAGTGGCCAAGAGGGGAAAATTCAATAAGGTGCAGCTTTGTTAGTCCCTTCAAACTTCAACGAAGGGCCTCTGTTTTTATTGGCTGTCGTCCGTTTCAGACATTGGAATTCTGTTATATGCTTTCCTCTGAAAAGTTTTGCTGCCATTTTTTCTTAACTCTAGAACTCAATGATATTTCAACTTTTAAGTTGTGTGTGAGAGATTTTTATTTTATTTTTTTTGAGATGGAGTCTTGCTCAGTCGCCCAGGCTGGAGTGCAGTGGCGTGATCTCGGCTCACTGTAAGCTCCGCCTCCCAGGTTCACGCCATTCTCCTGCCTCAGCCTCCTGAGTAGCTGGGACTACAGGCGCCCACCACCACGCCTGGCTAATTTTTTTGTATTTTTAGTGGAGACGGGGTTTCACCGTGTTAGCCAGGATGGTCTTGATCTCCTGA
This sequence comes from Homo sapiens, assembly GCF_000001405.40. Classification (NCBI taxonomy): domain Eukaryota; kingdom Metazoa; phylum Chordata; class Mammalia; order Primates; family Hominidae; genus Homo; species Homo sapiens. Next base: position 97,110,122 of record NC_000004.12, read on the forward strand.
CCTCGTGATCTGCCTGAGAACTCTCTGAGGAGTTAGAATGTCCTGCCTGTTTTACCTTTCTCATTCTCCAGCTTCTGCACAGAGTCCTGTGGCCCACAATGTGGCCAGGAGAAAGCCAGTCCGTAGAGCCTTTGCAGGAGACACAGTAGAGGCCCAGTGTGGCACAGTGAAGGTGAAACGTCCAGATCAGAAGAACCTGGTGGACTACCACTGGCAGTCTTCTGGTCTCTCTGTCATCAAATGAAACTGGCATCAGATACAACCTTTCCCATCTTGCTTTTTTTTATGAGAAAAACACCTGGAGCCTGGAGAAAGAATAAACAGAAAAATTCCAAATGTATATGAAAGTATCCAAATTACAAGTTTGAGAATTACTGCTTATAGGGGGCAAACACAAGTTGGTGGGTTTTTAAAAGTAGGTCTTATTTATGTTTTATTTCTCTTGTCTGGAGGAAAAGTGGGGGTATGGGGCACTGAACACAGTAGTGAAAATTGAATGATTAACATTTTATCTTTAATTGACCATTGATGAAGCATTTTTGCTGTGCCAAATATTGAATTAGACACAGTTGCTCTCCAATGACGTCATTTTTTGTTAGAATTTTTTGTATTGCTATCCAACTCTAATCCATTCTCATGCCAAAAAAACAGAGAATCAATTAGGGACAGTAGGTGTCTGTGGGATCCTGTTTTGAGAAGCATAATGTGTGGTTTTTCAGAGTTAAGTCTATGTTTCTATGTAGTAATCCATGATCATCTCTGCTATGTAGGTAGTCCCTCCTTGCCATATTTTACTTGGCAGAAATATTTAAGAACCCATTCATGGATGAGTACTCCAGAAACCTATCCCTGACATATATATGTGATATATTTATATATGATATATTTATATATATATCACATATATATGATCTCACATATATATTTTTTATATATATGTATATACATAACATATATATGAGTGACCTATTGGACCATACAACAATGACTATATGTACACTTACTCCTCTGCCAAAGATTTTCTGCATTATGGTTTCGTGTGCAATATAAACCATTTCACCACTGCTTCAGACATGAAAGTTGTATCTTACCACATGTTATCTTACTGAGTGTCTGTATCAGTTAGGAGTTGTGTTTTGTTACTCATAACGCATATCAGACTCTAGCAGCTGCAAAAAATTAGTGTTCATCATCTCACAAAAGAACAGGTCCAGCAGTAGACATTATAGAGTTGGCAAGGTGACTTCATAATGTCATCAAGCACTCTGGCTCCTTCCATTTTTCTGTTCCACATCCTTCTTCGTCTATTCAAAGTGAGAAGATGGCATTAGAACTCCAAATACCATTTGTGTATTGCAGCACAAAGAAGGGCAAGGAGAATGAAAGGGCAAGGGGCAAAAAGGCTCCTCCCAGCCAGCTGAGCTCTATTTGAAGCCATTTCAGTAGTCTCACCAACCCCATGTGTCTATATCTCATTGACTAGAACTTGCTCACAGGGTCAAAACTGGTAAAGAAGGGATGTACATGTAGCATATTAGCTGTATCATGGGACTGGATTTCTTCCTAAGAAAGGAGAGAAAGGATATTAAGTAGTAACTAGCAATTTCTGGCACAGTGGCCCAAAATTTACCAGGTATTTTATTTAATTATTTTTAATGGCTTCATGTTTTGATTATATGTATCCTTGAATTATATTGCTTTCGAATTATGCATTCTCATGGATAGCACAGTTCATACATAGAATGTCAAATAGGACCAATTATGAGTAGAAAAGTATTACTGCGTGTGTATTTAAAAAAGAAAACACTGAGGCAAGTTTATTAATTTGCTTAAAATTACATTAAAATAATTTAAAGAGGAAAGCCCTAATGTCTGAAGACTCCTTTTTGCCAAGTGATATAAGCAGAAAGCTAAAACGTTTTTGAGATTCTAAAGAGATTGATAGCATAACATTAAATATCTGAAAATAATAAGAATCATGAAAAAAATACTTAGGTTTCTGTTCTCAGTGATGAGTAAATTGTTAAGGTATTTTAAGGTATTTTATCCTTATATAATCTGTTAAGGTATTTTATCCTTATATGATTCTTCATTAAATAAAGAAAAGTGACTTTATATTTGACTGTACTTCAATACATAGAACAGATATAGTATAAATGTTGACTTCTTAAATGAAAATCACAAAGTAGTAACTTCTCTAGTGAAATCCAAGGTCATTAAAAAACTACTCAGTTGATTGCATTGTTAACAGCTTTAAAAATTGTTTTCTTAATTTATTTTTAATCATTTTGACATTGATCATGCTCCCAAAGAATTTTATACCTAAAACAGCTGGTATACCCTAAAACAAATTTTAAATATTTTCATCTTGGTACAATTTCTACAACACAACTAAAAATTACATGCAATACCAAAACCATAGGCACACTCATTTAATAAAATAGATCAGCCTATTGTGCTATTTCTTTTAAATTTAGAAGAAAGAGCAAACAAAACACAAAACATTTCCAACCTTTACTAATCCCATGAGAGAAAAATGTATTTTCATCTAGTACTAATGGGAGAAATTTATTTCCTTCCCAGTATTTTATAACCCTAATATCAAGAAAGAAAGCCAGCTTTACACACTAACATTCATTCTAAGATTTACTGCATTGTTATTTTGCTATTTTATCATGGTGCCTGAAATTATATGAGTTTCAGAGTCATAGTATTAACAGACTAGGATAATATCACTTGGGATTTAAGTCTTACCTATCTTTGAGATAAATAAGACATAGCATCATGGAAACTTAGAACAGGAAAGAGGTCATTTAGCCCAATTTACTGCCCAATGAAGAAGTTTCCTCTATATCACTTTCAACATATCACCATCTAGTTTTGTGCAAACCTCAGAACCTAAGAAAATTTTTTCAATGTCTTATTAAAGTGTGCCTTGTAAGAAACATAAGAATCAATATTTGTCCAAATTTCCTTACACAGAGAATTTTCACCTCCCTTACTTGAGATGTTGCACTTCTACTGATGTAGCCTAAAATGCTTTCTCTGTCTTTGCACCATAGCTTACTGTTGTCGTAGTATGAGCTTAGAGCCAATTAAAATCACTAGGTTATTGTTATCTGAAATTCAGTTAAGTCACTTCTCTGAAAAATGTAATGAGGAATATTTTCAGCAGCTTTGTTGAAATCCAGATGTCTGCGGCCCTCACTATCCAAGTTAAATAATTCTGTCAAAACAGAAATCAAGAGAAATAAAAATTATTTTTATTTTCAATAAACACTCAGGCTTTATCAATACTTTCTTAAGTCCTAACATAATTTTGTTTAATTTCATTGAGATTGTTGCTGAAATCGATTGTATAAGTTTGTAGAAAGCAAACTTTTATAAGAAAGAAAAAAAAGTACAGATAACTTTCTCCTAGTCCTTCAAATTATCTGTAAGTCTTCGGTTATCTCCAATAATGGGTCTGTAATAAACACTTCAAATTCTCTCTTGTTCATTGAATACAACTTATCTGGGCAAGAAATGTGAACTTGTGTAATTATAGAATATTATAATAATTATGATGACTAGTATAAAATATAATAATTATAATTATCAGTTGATATCTAATAGTTTACTTATGAAGTTCAGGATTTTTTTTAAAATTAGATTTTGTTTATCCTTCTACCTTGAAGACTATTTGTTTAAAAGATTAGAAATTAAGTGATTCTTCTTTTTCCTCAAACTGGTTCACACTATATTACTTAGAGTACTGCATATTTTCCCTAGTTCAAAGTTTAGCATGCATAAATATCACCTAGTAAACTGTTAAGAAAATCTACCTATTTGGACTCCAGCTCTCGCCTCAGCAAGACTTGAGTGTGGCTCAAGAATCCACATTTTTTGAAATATTCCCCATGATTTTGATGCATAAATTACGTGGACTATAATTTGAGAAATATGGTCCTATTTCTTTTACTTTGCAAGTATGTTAAAATTGTGTTATAAGAACTTGCTTTTATATCACTTCACATTCCTCCTAGATCATCTCTTTTGAGAGCATTCGCTCTGTGACAATGTCTATACTTTCTTGAAGTTTTTGTGACCAGTTGTCTTAACATCAGAATTACATATCTAAGTATAAATTTATTTATATGGACATCATAAATTCCAAGATACGATCACTTTATTTACTTACCCAGTATTAGATTTACTTTATTCATTATTGTTTAATTAGTTGTTTATAAGCCTATTCCCTTTTGTAAAAGATTGATCGCGATAATAATACCTCAGTGAAACACAAAATTAAGAGAGAATGTTTATAGAAGTGTTTTATAAACTACAAAGCAGATATTTGTTTACTTTTAGGTCATAGTCTATACAAGAAACAAATATTTTGTGACAACTTAAAGGTTAAATCCTACTTATCCTTACAAATTAATTTAGTTATAATAAAAATATGACATCACTATATTTTTCCTATATTGTTACTGAAGTAATAAACTAAAATTTTTCCTCACCCAGTACAAGGTTCATGCAGACACCCTTATAACAAAAGAAGATTAACTATAGAAAAGCATATAAATGTATGTAATATAAGCCTGCAGAAATAAAGATGAAAAGATCTAGAGAAAGCTGTGTGCTTTCACACACAGACATGCAGAAGTATAACTAAAAGACAAAAGAGAAGGATCTAATGGTAATAAACTGGGGAAACTTAGTGAGGCCTGTTTGTTTAGATTATTTTTTGTGTTCTTGTGTGACATTTCTTTTGAGTGTAGGACAAGACACCTGACATGAGGGTCTTCAGGGCAGAAAGAAAAAAGGTCAGCAAATGGCCTTCCTGGATTTTATGGCCTGCTTCAGAGAGAAGGCAGCAGGAGAACATCACAGAGACCTTCCTGCTTCTGCAGTTTTTCTCAGTGTCTTTCAGTATAAAATGCCCAGTAGGCCAAGGTGCCATATTTGGAGGGATCATGTTCTTGAACACTGGCAATAATCATAATAACTATGGGCAGAGCCTCCCTAATCTGAAAATCTAAAATCTAAAATGCTCCAAAATACAAATCTTTCTGAGTGCCAAAATGACACTCAAAGGAAATGCTCAGTGGAGCATTTCAGATTTCAAATTTTTGGATTAGGGATGCTCAACCTGTAAGTATAATGCAAATATTCCAAAATCTTACAAAATTCAAAATCTGAAAGAATTTTGGACCCCAGAAGTCTGGATGAGGAATATACAATATGCTCTACATAGTAATTGCTGTCATGTCTGGACATTTTTCTGAAGACTTTGTGTTTGTGTACTCTTAACAGAAAAAACAAACTTTATAAAATATTTGAAGAGGCTTTTTCTGAGCCAAAATCAGTGATGATGGCCTGAGAAACAGTCTCAAGAGTTCTTAAGAAAGTGTGCCTAAGACAGTCAGGTTACAGTTTGGCTTTATACATTTTTGGGAGACAAAAATTCAGGTAAATCATAAATCAACACATGGAAGGTGTACATTGGTTCAGTCTAAAGAGTTGGGATATCTTGAAGTGGTGACAGTGGGGACTTACAGGTCATAGGTAGATTCAAAGATTTTCTAATTGGCAATTTGTTGAAGGAGCTAAGCCTTGTTTAAAGACTTAAACAGTGGCAATAAATGCTTGAGTTAAGATAAGGGGAGTTGTGGAGGCCAAGGTTCTTGCTATGTAGATGAAGCCTACAGAGAGAATAGAAGGTGATATCTCTTTTCAGACCTTAAAAGTGTCAGGCTCTCAGGCTCTCATTTCATATCTCCTAGATCCAAGGAAAGCCTAGAAAGGGAAGACCTGGTTGCATTAATGGATATCCTGCATGGATGCAAATTTCAAACCACAGCCCTACTAAGTGGAAACTATCATTACACCTCTTTTAGAAATTGAGGAACTAAGATTCAGTGATGCTGAGCTAGTGCATTGAGTCACAGAGCTAGTAATGAGAAGATGCTAGATTTAAATACAGTCAGAAAGGCCACAGCCTTAGTGCTTCTAACATTTGCACTATATTGCTTGGCAGTGGTAACACACAAGGTTATACAGGCAAATGTAGGCTCCATAATGAGTTGAGATTTTTAAATTATTTAGTTTATCAAATCCAGCAGGTACCACACTGATTTTTATTTAACTAATAATTATTTAGGAGTGGTCTAAATATTTCTCTCTTACAGTAATCAAAGATCAATTATGTTTATTTTTCTTTTTCTTTTATTTTTATTTTTACTTTTTATCTCCACAGGTTTTAAGGAACTGGTGGTTTTGGTTATGTGAATAAATTCTTTAGTGGTGATTTCTGAGATTTTGGTGCACCCATCACCCAAGCAGTATACACTGTAACCAATTTGTAGTCTTTTATTCCCCACGCACTTCCCACCTTTTCCCCGGAGACCCCAGACTTCATGACATCATTCTCATGCCTTTGCATCCTCATATCTTAGTTCCCACTTAGGAATGGGAACATACAATGTTTGGGTTTTCATTCCTGAGTTACTTCACTCGAATAATGGTCTCCAGTTCCATCCAGGTTGCTGCAAATACCATTATTTTGTTCCTTTTCATCACTGAGTAGTACTCCATGGTGTAGATATACCACAATTTCTTTATCCACTCATTGATTGATGGGCATTTGAGCTGATTCCATATTTTTGCAATTGTCTAATTGTGCTGCTATAAATATGAGTGTTCAAGTATCTTTTTCGCATAATGACTTATTTTCTTCTGGGTAGATACCCAGTAGTGAAATTTCTGGATTGAATGGTAGTTCTATTTTTAGTTCTTTAAGGAATCTCCACATGTTTTCTAGAGTGGTTGAACTAGTTTACATTCTCACCAGCAGTGTAAAAGTGTTCCCTTTTCACCACATCCCCACCAGGATCAATTTTTTTTTTGTTTTTTTGATTATGGCCATTCTTGCAGGAGGAAGGTGATATCGCATTGTGGTTTTGGTTTACATTTCCCTGATCATTAGTGATGTTGAGCATTTTTTCATATGTTTGTTGACCATATGTATATATATATATATATATTTTTTTTTTTTTTTTGAGAATTGTCTATTCATGTCCTTAGCCCACTTTTTGATGGGATTGTTTGTTTTTTATTTGCTGATTTGTTTGAGTTCCTTGTAGATTCTGGATATTAGTCTTTGTCAGATGTATAGATTGTGAAGAATATCTTTCACTCTGTGGGTTGTCTGTTTACTCTGCAGATTGTTTTCTTTTATTGTGCAGAAGGTTTTTAGTTTAATTAAGTCCCATCTACTTATCTCTGTTTTTGTTACATTTGCTTTTGGGTTCTTGGTCATGAGGTCTTTGCCTAAGCCAATGTCCAGAAGGGTTTTTCTGATGTTATCTTCTAGAATTTTTATGGTTTTAGTTCCTATATTTAAGTCCTTGATCCATCTTGAGTTAATGTTTGCATAAGGTGAGAGATGAGGATACAGTTTCAGTCTTCGATATGTGGCTTGCCAAATATTCCAGCATCATTTGTTCAATAGGGTGCCCTTTCCATACTTTATGTTTTTGTTTGCTTTGAAGAAGATCAGTTGCCTCTAAGTATTTGGCTTTATTTCTGTGTCCTCTATTCTGTTCCATTGGTCTATGTGCCTATTTTTATGCCAGTACCATGCTGGGATACAGCAAAGTTGGTGCTAACAGGAAAGTTCATAGCCTTAAATGCCAACATCCAAAAGTCTGAAAGTGCACAGATAGACAATCCAAGGTCACACCTCAAGGAAGTAGAGAAACAAGAACAAACTAAACCCAAACCCAGCAGAAAAGAAATAACAAAGATCACAGGAGAACTAAATGAAATTGAAACAAAAAAAATACAAACAATAAGTGAAACAAAAAGCTGGTTCATTGAAAACATAAATAAAATTGATAGACTATTAGTGAGATTAACCAAGAAAAGAAGAGAGAAGACCTAAATAAGCTCAACTAGAAATGAAACAGGAGCTATTCCAACCAATACTACAGAAATGCAAAAAATCATTCAAGGCTACTGTGAACACCTTTATGCATACAAGTTCAAAAATCTAGAAAAGATGAATAAATTCCTGGAAATATACAACTGTCCTAGATTTAACAAAAAGAAATAGAAACTCTAAATGAGCCAATAACAAGCAGCAATATTGAAATAGTAATTTAAAAAATTGCCAACAAAAATAAGTCCAGGACCAGACAGATTCACAGCTGAATTCTATCAGACATTCAAAGAAGAATTAAAAACAATCCTGTTGACACTATTCCACAAGATAGAGAAAGAGGAAATCTTTACTAAATTATTCTATGAAGCCAGTGTCACCCCAATGTCAAAACTAGGAAAGGACATAACAAAAAAAGGAAAATTACGAACCAATATCCCTGATGAACACAGATGCAAAAATCCTTAACAGAATACTAGCTAACCAAATCCAACAGCATATCATAAAGATAATCTACCATGATCAAGTGGGTTTCATACCAGGGATGCAGCATTGGTTTAACCTACACAAGCCAATAAATATGATACAGCACCTAAACATAATTAAAAACAAAAAATCACATGATCATCTCAATAGACTCAGAAAAAGCATTTGACAAAACCCAGCATCCTTTTATGATTAAAACCCTCAGCAAAATCAGCACAGAAGGAACATACCTTAATGTAATAAAAGCCATCTATGACAAACCCACAGTCAACATAATGCTGAATGGGGAAAAGATGAAAGAATTCCCCCTGAGAACTGGACCAAGACAGGGATGCCCACTTTCCCCACTTCTATCCAACATAGTGCTGGAAGTCCTAGCCAGGGCAATTAGACAAGAGAAAGAAATAAAGTGTATTCAAATCAGTAAAGAGGAAGTCAAACTGTCACTGTTTGCTGAAGATATGATTATATACGTAGAAAACCCTGAAGACTCCTCCAAAAAGCTCCTAGAACAGATGAATAAATTCAGCAAAGTTTCAGGATACAAAATTAATGTATACCAATCAGTAGCTCTGCCACCAACAGCAACCAAGCTGAGAATCAAATAAAAAACTCAACTCCTTTTATGATAGCTGCAAAAAAATAAAATAAAATACTTAGGAATATACCTAACCAAGAAGGTGAATGATCTCTACTACAAAACACTGTGAAAAAAAATCATAGACAACACAAACAAATGGAAACACATCCCATGCCCATGGATGGATAGAATGAATATTGTGAAAATGACCATACTGCCAAAGACAATCTACAAATTCAATGCAACTGCCATCAAAATATTATTATCATCCTTCACAGAACTAGAAAAAACAATCTTAAAATTCCTATCAAACCAAAATGGAGCCTACGTAGCCAAAGCAAGACTAAGCAAAAGAACGAATTTGGAGGCATCATATTACTTGACTTCAAACTATAGTATAAGGCCGTAGTCACCAAAGGTCAAGTATGTTTCAATGCAAAAAGGGAATAAGTGTATATTTATACATTGATTGTCAACTTCAAGAAGAATTTTTTTTAATTACAAGAATATTTCACAAGTATTCTTCCATATCATCTTTTTACATGTTCAGAAGAAAGCATCTGATTGAACTAAGATACAATAAGATGTAATGACAACCATTCTGCACTTGTCTACTTCTTCATATCTGTTTGTATTTTTAAAGAGAAACTTGTTAGTCAAAGAAACAGTTTTCTCACACTTGCCTTTGCATTTATAAAGTTGGTTTTAAAGCCTTACAATACTTGTTTTTGACCTAGAGAAAGTATTTTTACTGCCTTTAAATTGCCTTGGCACTGAAATTTAATATGGACTAAGCCTCAAATATAAATCTGAATCACTGTTAATTTTATAAAGATAACTGCCATGGAGAAAAGTTATTATTACAGGTGTTCATCTTCAGAACCAAATTCAAATTACAGCTCTAATCTCTTTGGAGAATTGCTTTTCACATACCTGAATCACTTCATTATGAAACATTATTTTGCTATAAACATCTTATTGTTCTCTCTTGCAACCAGATGTGCTGAAGACAACTCTTTCACTTAAGGTAAATTATGTGAGAATAGTAAGAAAGAAAATCATTTTATCTTGTATTTAGTTGGACAGTAAGCTACATGTTGACTCATATAAAAATAGCTAAGAGTGAGTTGAGAATTTTTAAGATTTTCATTTTCCTGGAACACTACTGTTTCTTGTTTTAAGAGAGAGGGAGCAAGTAAGAGAGAAGAAGGGAGAAATGAAAGTTTGGAGAATGTAATGGGATTCAGAAACTACACATGACTAATTACATGTACACTAGATAGGGTTCTACCAATGGCATGAAGGAAATATTTTGTTTACTTTATGAAGGTTCATTAAACCCATGTTTACAATGTAATTCACAAACATTTGAGAAAATAATATAATCGTTTAATATGACAGAGGAGGAGAATAGGATAACCAAATAACTTGTTCTAACGAAACATTTTTTAAAACCAGAGTTTCTTTTGTTTGCTTTTGCCTTAGTCCATTTTCTGTTGCTTATAACAGAATACCCAAAACTGAATAATTTATAAGAAATGAAATTTATTTCTTACAGTTCTGGAGGCTGGGAAGTCCAACGTCAAGGAGACACATTTCTTCTTACTGGTGGAAACTTTCTGCACAGTCCTGAGGCAGCACAGGGCAACACACGGTGAGGTGGCTGAGTGTCTAGCTCAGGTCTCTTCTTATATAGCCACCAATCTTACTCCCATGAGAACTCATTACTCCTTTAACCCATTAATCCATTAACCCATGAATGGATTCCTCTATTCAAGACAGCAGAGCCCTCTGACCAAGTCATCTCTTAAAGGCCTCATCTCTCAATACTTTCACCCTGGGTATTAAATTTCAACATGATGTTTGGAGGGGAAAAATACTCAAACCATAGCCATTAAAAAATACTCACATACACATCACAAAAATACTTTGACCTAGAGAAAGTATTTTTACTTCCTTTAAATTGCCTTAGCACTGAATGGATTAGGCCTCAAATGTAAATCTGAATTGCTGTTAATTCAGATTTATATGTATATATGTATATGTGTGTGTATATATGTGTATATGTGTGTTTGTGCATATATACATATACACACACACAAAAATAAAACCTGTTACTAATGGTATACACTTTTGTTTTTATTACATAGTTGTAATTATAGGTATAGTAGGAGCCGGGATTTAAGTCTCATGCCTAGAATTTACTAGGAAGAGGAGGTTTATCAAAGGATATGGTTACATACCCAGAGACAAGTAGACAGGCAAGATCCTGGTCTCAGGACATTGTTCACATGGATGAATCAGTTTGCCAAATTGCAGAGCTAAGCTATAGTTACAAAAATAATCAAGAAAGAATTTAGGTGCAAGACACATTAAGAAAAAGGGATAGTAGTGTAGGAGACCATACTATGCCACCCTAAAATATACCTCTTTTGCATAAGGATTGTTTTGATCTAAAGGCAATTAGAAGAAGCAGATACAGGAAAAGCTCTTTGCCCTCCCCTATTTGCCTAAAAGAAAAATGTAAATTTATAAAGGTGTTCCTCCTCCCTTCTCTACTGGGGAGGACAAAGGTTAATCTCTGAGGACTACTTAAGGCTCTTGTCAGCCTAGAGATGGCACTGGAGAAATCTACATGACAAACCCTCATTTATTTGCCTCCTCACAATTTGCCATCCCTAGAGACTCAAAGTCCTTTTTCTTTATCTTATCACTTCTCTAAAAATATACAAGTCTTATTGAGGATGTTCTATAAGCCGGATTTCTAAGCCCCTCTTCAAGAATTCACTGCACATTTCCCATGTATACATTAAATATGCATGCTAATAAACTTCTGTCTGTTTTTCTTTTGTTAATCTGTCTTTAATTACAAGGGTCTGTCCCAGCTAGGAACTATAAGGAGTAGAGAGAAAATTATTTTTTCTCCCCTACAGTAGTAACTGAGGTAGAAACAAAATATAGATTCTGAAACTAAACCAAGGTTAGCTTTCAGTGGTTCCTCTCCAAAAAAGGTTTGCAACAAATTACAGTTTTGTTATTTGGGGCAGCTGATTGCACCATAGTCTGATGAGGGAATCCCTAAAGACACTATTAAGAAGATATTGTCCTATCATTACTGACTTAATTGATTCCTTTGTGATTGAGGAGATTGTAAGATCTCTAAGCCTTGGGATCCTCTGTATCCAAATCTTCTTCCTCCAAGCTCCTGCCACTCTCCAGGTCCAGGGCAAAAGTCGTAAAAGGTAACAAGTTAGATAGAAGTTCACCCCAAATTTAAGATACAATATGCAATAATAATAATGAATATAAGAGCTACTTTTCATGCCCAATTTCTCAAGGTTTGAAGCTCCTTCCTAGTAAGCCATATTTTTCAAATATTTAAATGTTTCCAAATAGTTCACCTAAATAGCGTAAAGTAATGCACAATGTAGGTGAACACTGAGTGAATTTTGGATTTATATTTATATGGACTAGATGACTAGTATGTGGTAATCATTATGAAGACTGTGTCTATGGAGGGCAATTTTTAAAAATCACAATTAAATTCATAATTTGATTCTATTTCACATATTTTTGTCATTTTTATGAAAAGGGAAACATTCAGAAAGACAGGAAAAGATTTTCCTTCCTAAAATTTAAAAGTAACAGTTGTAGTTGTACTTTTATTTAAATACAATTGTTTGCCAATATCCATTTAAAATGATACTTATTAAAAAGTATCATGTATTAATAAGAATTAAAGACATTACTTATACCAAAAATAGAATTTAATGAAAATCTGCTTTATTTGTATAATATGGATTTAATACAAAATTAAAATTTGTCATATAACCTGAAATACATAGGTAGGTATAACATTAATATATTTATATTCATTAGGTTTAAAAAATTACTGTATTATATATTATATAAGAATTATATATTTTATTCATTATAAAATATGAAGCCAAATGAAAAAAGTAAAATGATAACCACCTATAATTCTACAATGAAGAAATTACAATAGCTTAAAATTATATCTGGCATAAAAATATATAAACAGTTGTTAATATGCTCTGTAAATGTAAGCCTAGATCTACAAACTTAAGTTTCATTTGTTCTACTAAAATACATTTCCACATTCTGAAAATGGAATTTGTCTTAATGAGAGAAAAGTGTAGGAAGAATAATGAAAATTATATATAAATACAGAGTTAAGATTCAGAACGTTATTATTATTATTATCATTATTTTGAGACAGGAGTCATGTTATGTTGCCCATGTTGGTAGCAAATTCCTGGGCTCAAATGAGTCTCCTGCCTCAGGCTCCTGAGGTAGCTGGGATTTAAAAGCATAATTAATGAGGGCTTTCTCATTATTTTCAGTTCTGTGTAGTCAATTAGGCCAGACTCAAGAAAAAAGAAGCTAGCGTTTAGCCATAATGTCCAGGAACGTTTGTTTATCAGACAATTTTCTCTAATGCATTTAAAAGCATTTACTTCAAAATTTGGACTAAGCACATTGAAGCAGTCATTTGTTTTGTTTGAATTTTCAAGTGCTTTTTGAAACTATGTGTATTTTTTCACATAGCATTGTCTTTCTGTCTGCCAGCCTCTCCTGGGGCCCTAGTGTGGCCACAGCTGCTTGCACTGTAGCCTCGGATGCCAAACCAGAGTGCTTCTCAGGTGCTGACATCACAGCTCCTTCACTGGCAGACCATACCTAACCATCCGAGAACTCCAGCAGGCTAGCACATGCCAGTGCACAACCACGCACTTGCAGTCTCCCTTTATAGCATCCTTGCCAGCTTTACCAGCACATACAAACACACAGCCCCCCATCACTTCTTTGTTGGCACATGCGCATGGGCAGATCTTGCCTTCCCAAGCCCCTCCTGCAGTGCATGCATGGGCATACAGCCTGCTGTCCCTCCACCCCTGGGGCCCCATCCTTGATGACGTGTATGCACCATGCTGTACTCCTGTGCCTGCCCTTGCATTATTGTAGCTAGTGTACCAGGAGCACCTTGGTTTCTCTAGTGCGGTAGGTTCCTAATCTTGAGGGGTGAGAGAAAAAAGCCAGGGGCCCAGCACCAGCCCCCAAGAGTTAAAACATGCAGCCAAGGAGTGCTGAGCTGAGCCTTGGCACCCTGAAATGTTCCAGAAATGAAGACAGTTAACTGAACCCACCTTATACCACAGTCAAACCCTCAAGGGCAACAAAGAAGATAAAAGCGAAAAATCCCACTGAAAGGACAGCAACTTCAAAGACTAAAGGAACATCAGCCCACACAGATAAGAAATAATCATTGCAAGAACTCTGGAAACTCAAAAAGCCAGAGTGTCGTCTTACCTTCAAATGACCACACTAGATTCCCAGCAATGGTTTTTAAACAGGCTGAAATGACTGAAAATACAGACATAGAATTCAAAATGGGAATAGGAATGAAGACCATTAAGACTCAGGAGAAAGTCAAAACTCAACCCAAGGATTCTAAAGAATACAATAAAATGATACAGGACCTGAAAGACAAAATAGTCATTTCAAGGAGCATCAAACTGATTTTATAGAGATGAAAAATTCACTGCAAGAATTTCATAACAAATTGCAAATATAAACCTCAAACAGACCAAACTGAGGAATGAATCTCAGAGCTCGAAGATTGGTTCTACCAATTAACCTAGTCAGACAAAAATAAAGAAAAAGAATGAACAAAACCTCTGAGAAATACAGGATCATGTAAAGAGACTAAATCAACTATTAATTGGTATACCTGAAAGAGAGGAAGAGAAAGCAAACAACTTGTAAAACATATTTGAATAGGTCATCCACAAAAATTTCTCCAACCTCACTGGAGTAACCAACATTCAAATTCAGAAAATACAGAGAACCCCTATGAGATACTGTACAAGACAATCATCACCACAACACAGAGTCATCAGATTCTTCAAAGTCAGGATGAAAGAAAAAATATTAAAGGTAGCTAGAGAGAAGGGACAGGTCATCTACAAAGGGAACCTTATCAGGCTAACAGTGGACCTTTCAGCAGAAACACCATAAGCCACAAGAGATTGGTGGCCTATATTCAGCATTCTTAAAGAAAAGAAATTCCAACCAATAATTTCATATCCAGCCAAAGTAAGCTTCATAAGCAAAAGAGAAATAAGACCCTTTTCAGACAAGAAAATGCTAAGGGAATTTGTTACTAAAAAACTTGTCTTACTATTGGTTCTAAAGGGAGTGTTCAATAGGGAAATGAAAGACCATTACTGGCCACACAAAAACACAGTTAAGTATGTAGATCATTGACACCATAAAGCAACTACACAATCAAGTCTGTATAATAACCAGCTAACAATATGATGACAGGATCAAATCCACACAAGTCAATATTAGCCTTAAATGTAAACATGCTAAATGCACCCAATTAAAAGGCATGGAATGGCAAGTTGAATAAAGAAACAAGACCCAACTGTATGCTGTCTTCAAGAGACTCATCTTACATGCAATGATATGCATAGGCTCAAAGTAAAGAGATAGAGGAAAATCTACCAAGCAAACAGAAAACAAAAAAAGCAGGAGTTGCTATTCTAATTTCAGACAAAACAGATTTTAAATGAACAACGATAAAAAAAAAAGACTTTATGTCATAGTAAAGATTCCATTCAACAAGACTTAGCTATTCTAAATATATATATGCACTCAGCACAGGGGCAACCACATTTATAAAACAGACTCCTAGACACCTGTGAAGGGAGTTAGATAACCACAAAATAATACTAGGAGACTGATACAGTGTGAATGTCTCCCCTAGATCTCATGTACAGATGTAATAGCATTGTTGGAAGTGGGGCCTGGTGGGAGCTGTATGGGTTATGGGGTGGTGAGAATCCCTCATGGCTTGGTGCTGTCCTTGAAACAGGGAGTGAGTTCTCATAACATCTGGTCATTTAAAAGTGTGTGGCACCACCTTCCACCTTGCTCCCACCCTGCAATGTGAGATGCCTGCTGCCACTTCACCTTTTGCCATGAGTAAGTTCTTTTAGGCTTCCCCAGAAGCCAAGCACATGTTAGTGCCATGCTTCTGTGCATCCTTCAGAACTTTTAGCCAATTAAACCTCTTTTTATAAATTATCCAGTCTCCATTATTTCTGTATAGCAATGAAAGAACAAACACCTTACTGATCAGTATTAGAAAAATCTTCAAGGCTGAAAACTACCAAAGATATTCAAGACATGAACTCAAAACGTGAGCAAATGGACCAAACATACATGTACAGAAAACTCCATAAAAAACAGAAGAATATGAATTATTCTCATTTGCACATGACACATACTTGAAAATCAACGTAAAAATTGAGCCATCTATGACAAACCCACAGCCAACCTCATACTGAATAGCCAAAAGCAAATTCAAAAAAACTGAAATGACACTAACCACACTCTTAGACCACAGATAAATAAAAATGGAAATCTAGACTGGTAAGATCACTCAAAACTATACAATTATATGCAAGTTAAACAACCTGCTCCTGAGTTACTTTTGAATAAACAATGAAGTTAAGGTAGAAATCAAGAATTTCTTTGAAACTAATGGAAACAAAGATGCAAACCAGAATCTTTGAGACCCAGCTAAAGCAGTGTTAACAGGAAAGTATATAACACTAGATGTCTACATCAAATGTTAGAAAGATCTCAAATTAATTAGCTAACCAGAAAAACAAGAGCAAACCAACCCCAAAGCTAGCAGGAGAAGAGCAATGACTAACAGAGGTAAACTTAATTAAATTGTGATTTAAAAAACATTCAAAAGATCAGGGAAATTAGGCTTATTTTATGAAAGAATAGATAAGACTGATAGACCACTAGTTAGACTAATTTAAAAAAAAACAGAAGATCTAAATAAACACAATCAGAAATGACAGAAAGAAAATCAATGCCACAGAAATACAAAAATACCCCCAAGACCATTAAAAACACCTCTATACACACAAACTAGAAAACCTAGAAAAAAATTGATACAATTCTGGAAATAAACAAGCTCCCATGATTGAAACAGGAAGAAGCTGAAACCCTGAAAAAGCCAAAACAAGTTCTGAAATTGAATCAGTAACTAAAAACCTACCAACCAGAAAAAAACCCTGGACCAGATTCACAATCAAATTCTACCAGATGTATAAAGAAAAGCTGGGACCATCCCTACTGAAACTATTCCAAAAAAAATTGAAGAGAAGGGACTTTTCCCTAACTAATTTTATGAAGCCACTATTTTTCTGATACTAAAATCTGGCAGAGACATGACAACAAAAGAAAACTTCAGGCCAATATCTTTGATGAACCTAGATGCAAAATTCCCCAGCAAAATACTAGCAAACCAAATTCAGCAGTACACAAAAAAGCTAATCCACTACGATCAGGTAACCTTTATTTATGGGACGCAAGGTTGGTTCAACATATATAACTCAATGAATGTGATTCATCATGTAAACAAAGGTAAAAATAAAAAACACATGATCATTTCAACAAATGCAGAAAAGGCTTTCAATAATTCAACATCCCTTCATAATAAAAATTCTCAACAAACTAGATATTGATGGAACATACCTCAAAATAATAAGAGCCATCTATGACAAACCCACAGCCAACCTCATACTGAATAGCCAAAACCTGAAAGCATTCCCTTGAGAACTGAAACAAGGCAAGGATGCCTATTCTCACTAATCCTATTCAGCGTAGTACTGGAATTCCTACCCAGAGCAATCAGGAAAGACAAAGAAATAAAAACCATCCAAATAGGAAAAGAGGAAGTCAAACTGTCTCTCCAGATGCTGTGATTTTATACTTAGATAACCCCATTGTCTTTGACCAAGAGCTCCTAGATATGATAAACAACTTTAGCTAAGTTTCAGGTAACAAAATTAATGTACAAAAATTACTAGCATTTATATACACCACCAACAGCTAATCTAAAAACCAAATCAAGAATGCAATCCCTGGTTCTAGATCCCTGAGGAACCACCACACTGCGTTCCACAATGGTTGAACTAACTTACATTCCCACCAACAATGAAAAAGAGTTCCTATTTCTCCACTGCCTCGCTAGCATCTGTTGTCTCCTGACACTAATAATCGCTCTTCTGACTCGCATTGAGATGGTATCTTATTGTGGTTTTGATTTACATTTCTCTAACATTGACCCAGCAATCCCATTACTGAATATATATCTAAAGCAATATAAATCATTATTCTATAAAGATACATGCACATGTATGTTTATTGCAGCAGTATTCACAATAACAAACACATGGAACCAACTCAAATGCTCATCAATTGATAGACTGCATAAAGAAAATGCGGTACATATACACCATAGAATATTATGCAGCTATAAAAAGGCATGAGATCATGTCATTTGCAGGGACATAGATGGAGTTGGAAGCCATCATTCTCAGCAAACTAACACAGGAACAGAAAACCAAACATCACATGTTCTTACTCGTAAGTGTGAGCTGAACAATGAGAACACATAGACACAGGAAGGGGAACAACACACACCTGGGGCTGTTGGGGAAGGGGGAGGGAGAGCATCAGGACAAATAGCTAATGCATGTGGGGCTTAAAACCTCGGTGATGGGTTGATAGGTACAGCAAACCACCATGGCACATGTATAACTACGTAACAAACCTACACATTCTGCACATGTATCCTAGAACTTAACGTAAAAAAAAAAAAAATGCAATCCCATTCACAATAGCCACAAAAATAAAATAAAACAAAATAAAATAAAATAAAATACCTAGGAATACAGCTAACCAGGGAGGTGAGAGATCTAGAAAAAGAAGTATAAAATACTACAGAAAGAAATCAGAGATGACACAGACAAATGGAAAAACATCACATGCTCAGGGATAGAAAGAATAAATACTGCCTAAAGCAATTTACAGATTCAATGCTATTCCTATTAAACTACCAGTGATATTTTTTACAGAATTAAGACAAAACTCTTTTAAAAAGACAAAATTAATTTAAAATTCATATGGAATCTAGAAAGAGCCTAACTATCCAAAGGAATCCCAAATTAAAAGAATAAAGCTGAAGCATCACGTTACCTGACTTCAAATTATACTACAAGGGTACGGTAACCCAAACAGCACAATAGTAGTACAAAAACAGACACATAGATGGATGAGACAGAATAGCTAGCCCAGAAATAAAGTCACACACCTATAACCATTTGATCTTTGACAAAATTGTCAAAAACAAACTATGGGGAATGGACTTCCTATTCAACAAATGCTGCTATGATACTGGCTAGCCGTATGCAGAAGATTGGAACTGAACCCCTTCCTTATATCATATATGAAAAATGAAGCCAAGATGGATTAAAGCCTAAAATGTAAAACCTAAAATAAAAACCCAGAAAGAAAACCCAGGAAATACCAATTCTGGATGTTCGCCCTGACAAAGATTTCATGATCAAGGCATCAAAAATAATTGCAACAAAATAAAAATTGACCAATGGGACCTAATTAAACTAAACCATTTCTGCACAGAAAAAGAAACTATCAACAGAGTAAACAACCTATAGAATGGCAGAAAATATTTGCAAATTGTGCATCTAACAATGGTCTAATATCTAGAATCCTTAAGGAACTCAAATTAACAGGCAAAAATCCAACAACCCCATTAAAATGTGGGCAAAGGGCATGAACTGATGCTTGTCAAAGGAAGACATACACATGGTCAACAAGCATATGAAAAAGTGCTCAGAATCACTAATAATTAGAAAAACGCAAATCAAAATCAAAATGAGATACCATCTCACAACCAGTCAAAATAGCTATTATTAAAAAGTCAGAAAATAACAGATGAAGATACAGAGAACAGAGAACACTTATACACTGTGGGTGGGAATGTATATTAGTTTAGTCACTGTGGAAAGCAGCTTGGCAATTTCTCAAAGAACTTAGAACAATGATTCGACCCAGCAATCCCATTACTGAGTATATACCAGAAGAAAATAAATCGTTCTACCATAAAAACACATGCATGCGTATGCTCATTGCAGCACTATTCACAATAGCAAACACATAGAACCTAAATGCCCATCAACAGTAGACTTGATAAAGAAAATGTGGTACATATACACCATGGAATGTTACACAGCCATAAAAAAGAAAATCATGTCCTTTGCAGCAATATAGACAGAGCTGGAGGACATTAGCCTAAGCAAAGTAACACAGAAACAGAAAACCAAATGCCACCTTGTTCCATGTTCTCACTTATAATTAAGAGCTAAACATCAAGTACACATGGACACAAAGAAGGGAACAATAGACTCCAAGGCCTACTTGAGGGTGGAAGGTGGAAGAAGGGTGAAGATGTAAAAACCACCTTTGTGTATTATGCTGATTACCTGGGTAACAAAACAATCATGAAGGTACACCAAATCTCCATGACATGAAAATTACCCATATAACAAACCTGCACATGTATGCCCTGTACCTATAATAAAAATTGAAAGAAAAGAATGGTAACTAACATTTATAAAAAGTATCTTAAGTGATAGGCTTTTTCTAGTTTATTTTCTCATGCATCAAGTCTTTGAGTCCTTAAATTAAACTGTAAGTTTGGTACTGTTATTATCCTCATTTTAAGGTAATGAAACTAAGCTACAGAAAAGCCACTTGCTCAGAGATGGAAAGTGGCAGATATAGGAGTCACAATTAGGACTCTGTCCAGTGTCCCTTCTCCAAACATTTGTGTGACACTTCCCTGATAGAACACATAAAATGCTCCAGGGGGCTTGTGGGTGCATCTGCAAGGTGGAACTGTAAACCCCTGAAAAAAACATGATGGGAAAAAAGCAAGCCAATCTCACTCCAAGCCAGAGCCAGAGCTTTTCTTTATGCATCTTAATGATCATTCATTCTCATTAGGATGATACCATTCCATCCTTATACATTACCACACTAACACATGATTAATAGTTACCGTTAGGCAGCTACCTCTCTGTGATGGTTAATATTGTCAACTAGATGGGATTAAAGGATGCAAAGTATTGTTCCTGGGTGTGTCTGTGAGAGTGTTTCCAAAGGAGACTAACATTTGAGTCAGTGGACTGGTAGAGGAAGACCCACCCTGAAGCAACTTATCTAATCAGCTGACAGCACGGCTAGGATAAAAGCAGGCAGAGGAACGTGGAAGGACTAGACTGGCTGAGTTCTCCAGCCTTCATCTTTCCCCCATGCCGGATGCTTCCTGCCCTCAAACATCAGATTCCAAGTTCTTCAGCTTTTGGACTCTTGGGCTTACACCAGTGGTTTGCTAGGGGCTCTCAGACCTTCAGCCACAGATTGAAGGCTGCACTGTTGGCCTCCCTACTTTTGAGGTTTGAGGACTCAAACAGGCTTCCTTGTCCTCAGCTTGCAGACAGCCTATGTGGGACTTCACCTTGTGATTGTGTGAGTCAATACTCCTTAATAAACTCCCTTTCATATATACATCTATCTTATTAGTCCTGTCCCTCTAGAGAACTCTGGCTAATACAGTATCAAAAGAAACAAAACAGATTAACAATTACATTTCTTTCCTGGTGATTCTAATTCTAGATGGCCTTATTTCTGCAGTAAATTGCAACCTCAAAATATTGCATTATTATCCAATAATTGCCATGTTTGTGCATTACTATAATTTATATAATACTCATTTTATCTTCTGGATTCAAAATGTAACTACTCAATTTCCGTCTTTCACTTTAAATTATGTTAGTTGTTTTATCTACGTCCCCAAACATCTTGTTTCTGACCAAAAATACCATAATATCTATAGTATCTATGTCATTAAATCATCAAGGATACAACTAAACAATTGAATTCATGTTTTTTTCTTCTGCATAAAATCAAGTATAACATCTAGATAATTTATTTTTCTAATGCAAGTATTCTGTGGCATGAGGAAATAGCCTTAATGTGTACATGGCTCCATAATTACACAGTACATAGTAGTATTATAATAGTATTTACTAGTATTTTACAGGTATTCGACTTCATGTTTATTGCCTCTGTTTAGCACTCAATGGTAGCACTGAATATACTACCTCTTCTCTGAAATTTCAAAATATGTTTGATGCAGATTCTGTAAACATTTTTTGTGCAATATGTAGTTAAAACAGCAACAGAAAGCCTCAGTTGCAGCACCCACACGTTCTATATTGAAACACATACTGAAGATTTTAAGAATTCTGAAGCAATACTACCACTTTTCAAAAATGCCTGTGAGTCATCCCTGGAAGGCTTTCCCTTTCTTTTCCTAAAACTGTAATAAAATGCTAGTGAACTGACTTAAATGATGATCTGTATCCGTTATAATAATAATAATAAAAAAAACACTTTCAGAAATAAATTGAATGATATTTTGACCTGCCACACTAATGGAGAAAAGCATATGCCTTCTTTATCATACATCTTCCTTGAAGTATATCTTAAGGTCTCTTTGTCACTGGCATCAACAGCTGAAACATTAAGCTCTCTTGGCTCCTTTAGTAGGAAGATCCAGTTTGACCTAAGTCATTGAAGGTAAAAAGCGCATATGATTTAGGGGCTCTAATGCAATAGTTAATAGCTCTGCTAGAGTAGCACATTTTATGTCCCCAGTCGATGCTTCCTGTTTCATTTACTTTAATTATCCAACATTTTAGATACAATTCTTTTCATCCAACTTCCCTGTTTTCTTAGAGTTAATTGCTGCTCATAATCGTAGTACTGGATCATTGAGGAAGAAGAAAGTAACTATTCTTTGAAGTCATGTATTCTTCCTGCTGATAGCAGAATTATTCCCTAAAGGATATTTCTAGCACTTTGTCCATTTCAGTTACAATTGTCTTCAGAGACATGATTTCTATCACTTTCCCTGAAACATCACTTGACACATTATTCATTTAATGGGTTTTATGATTTTTTCCTTTTATACAAAAAACATACATTCCATTTTCTTAATTTCGTCTCACTTTTACTAGATATGAAACATAATGGCTTAAGTAATTTCTCTTCAATTTCTAACAACTACATTCTCTATGTAAGGTAGTGACATAAAATGATCATAGTGTAATTTTTATCTATATCACATAATATTAAATTGGTTTTTCACCTATTTTATTATGAAAATTGATCTATATCTTAAGATATTTACCTTTCAAAAGCACCAAATAGTTGATTAATCACTGAGAGAAAAATAAGCAAAATATTTTATTGGATAATCACAGTCTTCTAAAATTTTATTTTTAAAAGTTAGTCATACATTCACTTGGTGTAAAATAGAGAAGGTATCAGAAGTTATATAATCAAAATAAAATCCTCTCCTACACTTTGCTCCAAAAGAACTCATTACCCCAACCAATTTCTCCATCAGTCTTTCAAAGATATTTTCTTACCTATTATCTATGCAAGCAAAACAAACACATGTATAAATATAATACATTACTATACACAAAAGAAATAATGAAACAAAAATGGTAGCACAAGATAAAAATTATTTTGCAACTTATGACACTTAATATATCATATTGGTCTTTCTATATTATTGCTAATACAGCTGCCTCATTCTCTTTGATAACTAGTTCCAAATTTTTAGCACTAGAAGTGGAAAAATGTAGTCAGATTCTGAATTGATTTGAAGGTAGAACTGACAGGAACTTCTGGGTGTCAAGAATTATTCTAATTTTCTTAAAACTGGAAGGATGCAGTCACCTTAACCTAGATGGAGATGATTATAAGTAGAGAAAGAGCTTGGGAGATGATCAAGAGCTTAGGTTTGAACATGTTAACTTTGCTATACATATTAGGCTTCATAAATATATATACTTATATATTTAAGAAATTTTACATCTACTTCCATTTTATTAAGAGTTTTCATCCATAATTGATGTCGAGTTTCATCAAACATTGGTCCTAAATTTATGGAGAGGCAGATAGGAATTATTGGTTATTTTAAACAGTCTGATTATCCGTTCCATATAATCAACATCGTGATTATCTAATAACTTAATGGGATTTTTAAATGGTAGCTCTTTTCTGGAGTTTCTATATTGGAGATTGATATGTATATAGCAAAAAGCTGCATATCCATAATTATTCAGGAAGGCTATTGTGTTGTTTCATTACGGAAACAATCTCATTCTATTATCTATGTTGTGCCTGGAGTGGAACTCAGAGGACCTGATTTTAAATTTGTCTGTTTTTCTACATTACCACATGAGAATATAAAAGCAGATCAGATGTAAATACTGATCACCAATGACTTTATAATTTGAAAGTAACCTATTGATTAGTGTGTGCTTGCCCAAACTATCTTTTGCATGTTAGGCATAAAATTCTAAGCAGAGACATCCTCGTTGATGACTATTCACAGCATTGCTAGAGTCACTGTTCTTGCCCAGAGTTAGTACAATGTAGTACCTCATACAAACCAAACGTTTTCAGATGGGATTCTTCATTTTTTCTTGTCCTAGGACTTCTGGTTGCTGCTGCTATTTCAAACACTGTCAAGGACCTCCATTATAATCAGCCACCTCCTGCTGAGGACTTCTCCCCTCAAACCAGCACTCAATTCATCCAGACAAGACTTTTAGCTGAGACATCTGTGGTCTACAATGGAATGAAACCAGAATCAACAATCTGGTTAAACTGCACAGCCTGTCTCATTTATATATGGTTATTTTGGTGCACATTTGAGCTTTCTTTGATTTGCAAAGTGAAAATGCCAACTTTTTGATTATTAATATATTTCAATTATTTTATAATAAGAAGAAATTATGTATGTGCTATTTATGGGCTAATAAAAATCTCAGCTGAGGTGAAAAGATGAGCAACTGGACAGATTAAACTGAAACTTTCTTTTTAAAAAGTTTAATTGTATGTATTTAAGATGTACAACATGATATACATCGAGATAATAAAATGGTTACTGCAGTCAAGCAAATTAACATATTCCTCCTCTCACATAGTTAACCCCTTTTTATGTGGCCAGGGCACCTATAATCTACTCTTTAAGCATTAAACATCCCAAGTACAATACCGTATGTATTATTAACTATAGTCCTCATTTTGTACATTAGATCTCTGTACTTGTTCACCCTACATATCTGGTACTTTGTGTCCTTTGACCTACATCTCCCATTTTTTTCCCTATGCACTCCTATTCCTGATTACCACTGCTTTATTCTCCATCTCTGTGTATTCAACTTTTTTTTAAGATTCTACATGTGAGATCATGCAGTAGTTTTCTTTCTGTGTGTGTCTTAATTCGCTTAGCATATTCATCCATATTCATCCATATTGCGGCAAATTGCTCCTACACTGTAGGTGGGAATGGAGATTAGTGCAGCCATTGTGGAAAACATTATGGTAGTTCCTAAAGAAATTACAGATAGAATTACCATATGACTCGGCAGCCCCTTTTCTGGCTATATACCCAGAGGAAATAAAATCACTACCTTGTAAAAGTATTTGTATTCCCATGTTCAGAAGGTACCAGAAGTTATATAATCAAAATAAAAGTCTCTCCCACACTTTGTCCCCAAGATCTCATTACTCCAACCAATATCTCCATCAGTTTTTTAAAGATATTTTCTTACCTATTATGTATGCAAGCAAAACAAACACATGTATAAATATAATAAATTACTATACAAAAAAGAAATAATGAAACAAATAGCACAAGACAAAAATTATTTTGCAACTTACTACACCTAATATATCGTATTGGTGTATGTCAAATATACATCATTTCTTTATCCATTTGTTCACAACACATTATATATACATATAGAATGGAATGGTATTAATCCCTTAAAAAGAATTTTAAATCAAAACTTTCTTGAGGCCGTCTCAGCATATATCCAATCAGTAGATACTCAGTTTAAAGTTAAGAGGAGGAAGAGGAAATAACAGGAGAAAAGAAGAATAAGGAGGAAGAGAAAAGACAGAGGAAGAGTGAGGAGTGGAAAGAAAGTAGGAGGAAGGGAAAGGTGAAGAAAGGAAATAAAAATGGCACAGAGTGATATAAAACATATTCTGCTCCATTTATAGAATCTACATTTTCTGCATCTACCAGCATTAGAGAGGAAAGTTGGACATTAACATGGAAATGTTTTTCCTCATAAACCCAGTATCCAATTTGTATTGGCTATAGACATTAAGTTAGGTCATTTATTAATGCTTTATTTTCAATTCTCTTTTGTTCTTGCATCTGCTTTTGTATGAACAAAGCCTGCACTGTAATCAGTTCTGTCCTCAGTTTTCTTAGTAGACTCATAAACAATAATTCTGGAATACTAAAATAATACTACATATTTTTTAAAATCACTAAGTGCCTTCCAAACAGTTGCTTTCAGTGTATTCTCAGGCACATAACAACAACAAAAAAATACATTTGATTTACTACCTTTTTGTTTTTATTTTGTTGATATTTATCAAATTTTAAACATGATGCCAAAAATAATGATATCTTTATAGTTATAAACTCTACTTAGGGAAAAATTTCTGATGGTAAAAGTATAAATCAGAAAATTTGCCTACTGAGATTTCTTTTTTGAGACAGAGTCTCACTCTGTCATCCAGGCTGGAGTGCCATGACATGATCTGTGCTCACTACAACCTTCACATACCAGGTTCAAGAGATTCTCCTGCCTTAGCCTCCCAAGCAACTAGGATTACAGGTGTCCGCCACCATGTCCAGCTAATTTTTTGTATTTTTAGCAGATATGGGGTTTCACCATGTTGGCCAGGCTGGTCTCAAACTCCTGACCTCAAGTGATCACCCAGCCTCAGCCTCCCAAAGTGCTGGGATTACAGCTGTGAGCCACTGCACCTGGCTAAGATTTCTTTTTGAAAAAGAAATTTTCACATGCATCTGTGTGAAGAGACCACCAAACAGGCTTTGTGTGAGCAATAAAGCTTTTTAATCACCTGGGTGCAGGCGAGCTGAGTCCAAAAAGAGAGTCAGTGAAGGGAGATAGGGGTGGGGCCATTTTATAGGATTTAGGGGGGTAGTGGAAAATTACAGTCAAAGGTGTGTTCTCTTATGGGCAGGGGCGGGGGTCACAAGGTGACCTGAACTAACCTGTAAGACTTGTCTGGTTTTTTGGACAGGTAAAACGGGGGAATTATAAGGAGAGTTTATAGGCTTTAAAAGGCCATGCTGTAACAGGTGAGTGATAACAGGCTTTAATCCTTTTAAAGCATGCTGTGGGATGGGATATTGGCATTGAGAGGGGTAAGGGTGATTAGGTTTTAATGGGATGGTAAGGGGTGTATGATTGGTCACCAAGGAGGGAGTAGAGGTGTCCTATACTTGTGGATTAAGGTGGGGAGATACAAGGAGAGGATGTGAAAGAGGCTTTTTACTGGGGAAAAGGGTGGTGATGAGGTGTGGTCGTAGCCTAGGAATAGTCAGGGAAGCAGATAACTTAGTTAAAATGTCTCGACCTAATAAGGGAGCTAGGCAGGTGGGGATAACTAAAAAGGAGTGCATAAAAGAATGTTGTCCTAGTTGGCATCAGAGTTGGGGAGTTTTAAGAGGTTTAGGAGCCTGGCCGTCAATACCCACAACAGTTATGGACGCAAGGGAAATAGGCCCTTGAAAAGAAGGTAATGTGGAGTGGGTAGCCTCCATATTGATTAAGAAGGGGACGGGCTTACCCTCCATTGTAAGAGTTACCCAAAGCATCTGTGATGGTCCAGGAGGCTTCCAAGGTGATCAGGCAGCACCAGTCTTCAGCTGTTAAGCTGAGAAGATCTGGGAAGAGGTCAGTCAGAGAGCCTTGGGCCAGAGTTCCAGGGGCTCTGGGAGTGGCTGCCGGGTGATTTGGACAGTCTGATTTTCAGTAGGGTCCTGCACAGATGGGACACAGCTTAGGAGGAATCCCGGGCTCTGGGCATTCTTTGGCCCAGTGGCCAGATTTCTGGAACTTGAAATAAGATCCTGGGGGAGGAGGTCCCATAGGAATGCTTGACTGCTGCAGCTTAGGCATTTGGAAGTTCTTGTATGCTGGAGATGTGGCTGGGGTTTCTCTCACAGTGGACGGAAGGAATTGCAACTCAGAAATATGTTGCTACTTGGCTGTCTCTATTATTGTACACCTTGAAGGCGAGGTTAATTAAGTCCTGTTGTGGGGTTTGAGGGCCAGAATCTAATTTTTGGAGCTTTTTTAATGTCGGGAGCAGGTTGGGTAATAAAATACATATTGAGAATAAGACGGCCTTCTGACTTTTTAGGGTCTAGGGCTGTTAAGAATCTCAAGGTTGCTGCCAAATGAGCCATGAACTGGGTTTTTATATTGATGAAAAAGAGCCTAAATGCTATCTGATTTGGGAGAGGTCAGATAAAGAAAAAGGAACATTAACCTTGGCTATGCCTTTAGCTCCAGCCACCTCTTTAAGAGGAAATTGTTGGGCAGGTGGAGGAGGGCTAGTCACAGAACAAAACTGTAAGCCAGACTGGGTGTGAGGAGGGGAGGTAATAGAAGGATTATAGGGTGGAGGAGCAGAGGCTGAGGAAGAACTGGGACCTGGCTCAGCCTGGCGAGGAGCAGCCTGGGGAGGAGGGAAGAGGTCAGATGGCTCTGTAGAAAAGGAAGATTGAAAAGACTCAGCAACACTTGGGGTTGGGACTGAGGGGACAGGCAGGAGGGAAAGAAGGAAGATTTGGGACGAGTTGCATTGGGAACAGAGATTAGGGAGGGACCAATGTGCAAAAGAATGCCTGGACGTCAGGCACCTCAGATCATTTGCCCATTTTTCAACAAAAGTTATCTAGTTCTTGTAGGATGGAGAAATTGAAAGTGCCGTTTTCTGGCCATTTAGAACCATTATCAAGTTTGTATTGGGGCCAAGCAGTGTTGCAGAAGAAAATAAGGCATTTAGGTTTTAGGTCAGGTGTGAGTTGAAGAGGTTTTAAGTTTTTGAGAACACAGGCTAAGGGAGAAGAGGGAGGAATGGAGGATGGAAGGTTGCCCATAGTGAAGGAGGCAAGCCCAGAGAAAAGAGACAGTAGAGACACGGAGAGAAGGGGTGGGGGGGTGTTTGCCCCCCAGAAAAGTGGTGCTTGCCACTAAGGGTGAAGGATCAAGGCAGACGTCCACGCGGTGATCAGACACCTCTGAAATGTGGTGAATAATCAGGCAGGCATCCCCGCAGTGATTAAACACCAAGGGAAGACTGTTTTTCCGAGTCGGTGACCTGCGCGGAGTTTTGGGTTCATGGATAAAACGCATCTCCTCTGTCTCTACCAGAAAAGAAAAGGAACTGAAATTAAGAGAAGGGAGAGATTGAAGTGTGGCGCCAAGATTGAAAGGAGAAAGATGTTGAGGGATAGTGAGAGAGGTTGGAGAAGAGAGTAAACAGAGGCCGCTCACCCGGTTTAAAATTGGTGAGATGTTCCTTGGGCTGGTTGGTCTGAGGACCAGTGGTCATAGGTGGATCGTTCTCAGGGAGCAAAGAGCAGGAGGACAGGGGATTGATCTCCCAAGGGAGGTCCCCAAAGGGAGGTCCCTTGATGCGAGTCACGTTTCGGCACCAAATTTCATGCGCGTCCGTGTGAAGAGACCACCAAACAGGCTTCGTGTGAGCAATAAAGCTTTTTAATCAACTGGGTGCAGGCAGGCTGAGTCTGAAAAGAGAGTCAGTGAAGGGAGATAGGGGTGGGGCTGCTTTATAGGATTTGGGTGGGTAGTGGAAAATTACAGTCAAAGGGGGTTGTTCTCTTACGGGCAGTGGCAGGGTTCACAAGGTGCTCAGTGGGGCAGCTTCTGAGCCAGGAGAAGGAATTTCACAAGGTTAATCACTCAGTTTAGGTGGGGCAGGAACAAATCACAATGGTGGAATGTTATCTGTTAAAGCAGGAAACGGCCATTTTCACTTCGTTTGTGATTCCTCACTTGCTTCAGGCCATCTGGATGTATACGGGCTGGCTTGGGTTCAGAGGCCTGACAGGAATCTACCTATTTACAGTTTTCTAGCCTTCAGCTAAGGAAAGTCCCAAGTTAACTGTTACATGGTTCAGTCATCTAGCAAGATATTGAGGAAAAGTGAAAAGTCAATATAAAGAACAAAGTAAATACAGAAAAATGGAGTAGTTTTGCTATGCCTATTAATATATTATACATATAATATGTAACATGTATTATATACATAAAATATACTTTTTATTTACTACATATCACATAGATAATTGGTTCTGTTTCTCTGAAAAGATTCTTTTGAGAGAAAATAAGAGAGAGAGGGAACAAGAGAGAGAGAAACAAACAAATTTATGTATATGTATATCCTACTGGTTCTGTTTCTCTGGAGAGAATAGATATATATTCTCTAGAGAGAGAGAGAGAGAAGGATTTATGATGGGAATTGGCTTACATTATTATGAAGGCCGAGAAGTCCCACAATCTGCCATCTATTTACAAGCTAGAGAACCAGAAAAGCCATGGCTTAAAACAGTCTGAGTCCAACAAGTCTGAAAGCCGAAGAAACAGGAGCACTGATGTCAAAGGACAGGAAAAGATAAATGTTCCTGCTCTAGCCCAATCTTCCTTTTTATTCTTTTTTGTTCTATTCAGGCCCTGGATGGATTGGATGAGGCCCACCCATGTTGGTGAGGGCAACTCTTTACTCAGATTCAAATGCTAATCTTTTCCAGAAACGCCCTCACAGACACACCCAGAAATAATATTTTACCAGCTCTCTAGGCATCCCTCAGCCCAGTCAAGTTGACACATAAAATTAATCATGACAGATCATGTGTATCAATAAGGAGGTGACTCTGGAATTCTCTGCCTCAAGTTTCGTGTTAGTGAGGTTCTGAATGCTCAATGACATGCTGACTACACAGAGTAGAGAAGATTTCTTGGAGCAGCTAATTCAGCTGAATATTTGATCAAAGGTGATCACCTATGAAGAAAATAATTATGCTTTTTATTAAGTTGTGCTTTAAATTCTCTAAATTTGCCATTTTCTCTAATAATTAGCTCAAGTATTGTCCTGTCTCAAGAAACTTAAAAAAATAAAACAGGCAATTTTTGTTTACTGAAAGAGAACTGTGGAAACAAAGACTTTTCATTAAAAATCAATTTCTTAGGAAAATTATTATGTGACAGTACTCATTGCATAACATAATGGTGAGGAATAGATTGAAATACTAGAGAAACAAACTCACGCGCGTCCATGTGAAGAGACCACCAAACAGGTTTTGTGTGAGCAGCAAGGCTGTTTATTTCACCTGGGTGCAGGCGGGCTGAGTCCGAAAAGAGTCGGCAAAGGGAGATAGAGGTGGGGCCATTTTATAGGATTTGGGTAGGTAGAGGAAAATTACAGCCAAAAGGGATTGTTCTCTGGTGGGCAGGGACAGAGGTCACAAGGTGCTCAGTGGGGGAGCTTCAGAGCCAGGAGAAGGAATTTCGCAAGATAATGTCATCAGTTAAGGCAGGAACTGGCCATTTTCACTTCTTTTGTGATTCTTCACTTGCTTCAGGACATCTGGATGTGTAGTGCAGGCTTGGGCTCAGAGGCCTGACACAAACCTATAATTATATTCATTAATCTTATTTTCAACATTTGAAAATGAATCGTGAAAAATTTTATTAAGTGTCAAAACTTTATAAATGCTTTATATATCTAAAGATTATTTAAATTTTAGACCAATGTAACCATTTTTCCTCCTTTACAAAATTTCTAATACTTTATACGTTTCCATTCTTCTTTGGTGGCATGGAGAAAATAATTCCCATTGAAGAACAGAGATTGGTCTGTATAATTATTATTTGACACCATGTATATTTACCAGGTGCTTTCTGCATTTACAGCATTGAGGTCCCAAACATACATGGCATGAGAGAAAGACCAGCACACAGCCCCTTTCCAAAGAGTTCAAGGAGAATTGACTGCTATTTTTTTCTATAACAAAGTGTCTGGATTATGACTGTTTCAACTTTCGAAGCTTCTGAACACAGAACAGTTTAATAAGCTCAGTGATCTCTAAGAAACATTTGCCAGAAAGAAAACCTGCGGATCATGATTTCAAAGTGACTCAAACAGAGCTTTTCGCTACAAAGTGCCTTTTCAATTAGAATGCTGGAAATCAGACAGTGCAAAGATGTAAGGTAACCAGGGAAGGCAAGTTAGGGCTGCCTATGGCTAGATAGAACTATTCCTTTCTCGTTTAGTTCAGCTCCTTGAAGAAACCTGAGGTGCAAGAGCAGCACATACCAATTTCTTGCATTTTCTCCCTTGTTTTGGTCTTGAGTGCCTTTATATGGTGTCTTATTCCTTCAAGTCTATTGTGAAGCTTCTATTAGTTTTTAAAAGCTTTTGTTTCCAAGAAGTAGGTTGCTACCTCTCCCACAACAAGAAAATAAAATTACTAAGTACTACAACCTTGGGCCTGTTTCTAATCATTGGGAGATAAAATGAGGGGATCATTTGACAGTCACTGTACGCTGGAAACATCAACTAATGACCTTTATTACTAATGACCTGGGCCCTCAGGCAATGAACCTAGACAACACTGATTAAGAGAGAAGCCTGCTGGTTTTTACAGCCATATAAAATTGAAGGAATCTTTGTGTTTAATAGAGAAGGAGTAGGACAGAGAAAGAAACGTAAAAATGAATGAGCTATAAAAAAAAAGACTTTTTTTCTTCCATTGTGCTGCATATTAGAGAACTAGTTAATAAATAGTAAGGCTCAGAAATACTTTTGAATTAATGTGTGGGACTGAGTCTTTGGAATAGATGAGTCTTTAAAAAATAACAATTATCCGCTGAATCCTGCAATCCTGTACACTTTGTCTACATGTCCCTAGAAAATGTGTCATGTCTAAACACAGCTATATCAAGCACCACAGACTTAGCAGAGTCTTCACAACTTCCCACCTGACTTCTGTAGTGAGTTTATCCATTAATATAATAAGAGTCCTCAGGGGTCTCTTCTGTTAAGTGCTCTTTCCGTTCTCCTGAAGTGGCACCAGGGGACTGCTCCACTGCTCCTCTTGGCAGGGTGTTTTTACACAGGAACCACCCACTACTTAAAACACTTCATTGAGATTCCTGTCCAAACTTTATTTAACCGTTGTTAGTCCATTTGTCCATGTCCTAGGGGTGTAATTAATGTAGCTGCTTCATATCCCCTCTTCATTTTAAAAGGACGTTAATACTTAAATCCACACTGGTCTCAAATATTTCAACCATTATGTTCACACATAGTGATTATTTCTGTAGTTGCATTAGAAAATTATCTTATAAAAATGATTTGAAGAAGAAATATTGTGAAAAACCATAGAAGCAGATTAAATAAAATTAAAATCACACACAAGCCCAACACCCCATAGATGTCATCAGTTTTACCAGTTGGTTATATTTTCGAAGAACCTATCTTTCTTAAAAAAGTGAGTTTACACAATGTATAGAATTCTTATATTCCTCTTTTTATTGAACAGTGTATTGAGAAAATTTTCCTATGATGTTGGGAATGTAACTTTATTGGCAGTCCATGCTGAACATGTGGAATGTGCTACTCCAACAGATATTCCAGAGGAAAATAATCAGATCAAACAATATGTTATTTCAAAGCCAATCAGCACATAATTCATAGCTGTTAAATTCAGCTTCTTGGTTAATATATGAACTGGTTGTGAGAATTGACAAATTGTTTCTAAGCTCCCGAATAATATTACTAATTTAACTAGCTTATGACTTATTAAAATGCTTTCCCTAAGAAGAATAAGATACAACATTAGATCATTGTTAGAGGAAAAAACGATTAACTGTATTTTAATGGATCCAGTGTATTAATTATGTAGGCGATGGTTACCCTGAAAGCCTACACTTCACAACTACACACTGGGTCCAAGTAACAAAGCTGCACTTGCTCCCTTCAAATTTATATTAATTTTTTAAAAGTGTTTTTTCTCCCCTTTGTAGAGATATGTTGAGTTTGACAATCATACATTTGGATCTGTTTCATTCCTTCATGCATGAATTAATTCAACAAACATTTATTACTAGAGATTATGTTAGGTGTTGTCAATACTAAAGAAAAAAATAGAAAAGAGCTTGACACTCATGTATCTTACATTCTAATAATGGGAGCATATAAAATCTAGGGAAGAAAGAGCAATGTGCTAGACAGCTTTCTGGAAGGATTAAATCTGTCAACAGAGTTCTCCATCAGGAGTTAGCATTGAAATTGAGACCAATGCATGACAATGAGAAGAAGTGTGGGCAAAGTATTTCAGTCAGAAAAACATCTGCAAGGCCCCTGAGGCAAGAAAGATCTTGGCCTCTTTGGGAAACAGAAGTGAGAGCAGTTGCTGGTGAAAGCAATTAAGGTAAGAGAGGTATTGAAGTGAGGATAGAGAGGAGCTGGGGCCAGATTTGTGCAGTGCCTTCAGGGCATGGCAAGTGTTGGGGCCAAACCGAAGGCAACACATTATTCCTGTTCTTGGAGGTCCCACAGAAAGGTGAGAATTTCCACTTCTCAGAAGGGAAACACAGCATGAGAATTCTAATCCATTTACCTGAGAAGAATAGAAGAGTATGTCGGTTTTACTCTCTTCTGCATCCTTGTTTTGGCCTAAGAGCTCCGAAAATGGTAACAATTCCCTGCAAACTCTGTCCTTCACGAGGAAAGCCAGGGTCCAGGCCTGCCTTCTAGAGGCAGGTCTGTAAGTTGGCCTCTCTCTGTGAAGTCATGATTCTGCATCTCTATGTCCTCTCTGCAGACTCAAACATGCCCTTAAGCGTGCCTCTTCCAAGGGCTGGATAAGTGATGAGTACATCTGTGTTTGCCATATTATCTAAAAAATGTCATAAACACTTAATGGGGCTGCCATGCTGCTTAAACATATGAACTCATTTATTCCTCAAAACAACCTTGAGGTGAGTATGATTATTTTTCCTATTTTATAGGTAGAGAAATTGAGGCACAAATAAATTAAATGACAACTCAATGTGCAGTGGAGAGCTAGTTAGTAGTAGACCCGGAATTTGAACTCAGGTTGCCACTAAAGTCTATGCTTTCAGCCATATCATTAATGTCTCTTCAACTCTGCTGTGTATCTGCAATACTTTAATGAAAAATTTAAATATTAGTGTGGAAGACAGACACCAAAATGACTCCAAATTATCTCTACTTCTTTGCATTAATGGCCTTGTGTAACCCTTTCACCTTGAGTGTGGAAGGGACCCGTTACTTGCTTTTAACCAATAAAATATGGCAAAGGGCTGGAGTGTTGCTTTCATGATTACATTACATAAGATTGCAGTTTCCATCTGGCTAGGAGCCTATTGACTCGCTCCTTTGTGGGTTTGGATGAAGTAAGCTTGCCATTGGAAAGGCCCACATGACAAGAAACTGAAAATGGCCTCTGACCAACATTCATCAAGGGTCTGAGACTCCCAGTCCAGTAGCCAACAAGAAACTGAATCCCGCCAAAAGTGGATCCTTCCCTCCTTAATTGTCAGATGATTGTCCTGCCCTACTAACTCTTTGATTGTACCCTCGTGATAGGTCCTAAAGCAGAGGACCTAACTAACCATGTCTGGATTCCTGACACAACAGAAACTATGAGATTAAAAAAAAAGTACTATTTTTAGTCACCAAATTTATTGTAATTTGCTGTGCAGAAATAGATGACAAATTCAGCTGGTAGTAGGGCATATATATTGGCTAGAGCGGCAGTATATTAGTGACATATTGGCACCAATACACTGTTTTCTCCTTATCTTCTATCTCTTGTTCAAGTTGTGATACTATTATAGCCTGAGTATTCTTTCTGG
The DNA here is from genome assembly GCF_000001405.40 of Homo sapiens. Lineage (NCBI taxonomy): Eukaryota > Metazoa > Chordata > Mammalia > Primates > Hominidae > Homo > Homo sapiens. The sequence continues at coordinate 97,145,916 of NC_000004.12, forward strand.
AACTGGATATATCATGTCCTTTCTAGATCATGGCTAGTTCTCAAAAGGGGAAGTCAACTAGTTTGGGCTGCTTTCCTGGAATCATCAGATCCACAGTTGGTAGCCTTACTCATGATGACCTGCAGTCCCCTTGCATGGCTTTATCATATCGTTTTCTTCACTGGACCATCCTCTCAAGACCGTCCATTGGAAGCAGTTACTTTCTCACTGACTCACACCACACGTAACACACTCATGAAAAGTAGAAATACATTATCATCAGTCTAATTTCATTGTTTTGGTTAGAATAACAACAATAAAAGAAAAATAAAATACAAGCCAATAGTCAAGTGGCAATAACCAGTACTAGGTTATTACTTCTGTTTTCTTATCAGAGTCCTTGTAATTTATAATCAAATTATATTTGTTTTCTCTCCTTTACTCACTGGCTCAGCAAATGTTGTAGAATAAAAGGAATAAATAAAAGCATCAATTGATTTCACTTATGGCAAAGATCGCTGGACAGTGAGAAGCATCAGAAAGGAAAAACACAAGAAAGAATTATAAGATGAAGAGACAGCGAAATAAAAATAAAGGAGTACAAAAAGCAGCACACTTTGTCTTTACCAGAAAATAAAATTTGCCCTGATATTTAAAGCGGCAGTTAAGCAAACTGACACTAAATTCACATGTAACTATTCCCTACTCCATCCTTTAACAGGTCTAGAGTCAGAACAACTTTCATAAATGCTATGGCTAACTTTTCATCTGTGAGATTTTAAAAACTATTCCATTTACTAAAAAGATTTCACTGATCAATAGTTCCTGTTTAGTTTGTGGGTTATTATTAATTTCCATTAATTTAAAAATATCATAAAGGGCAGCAACTATTTTATGAATAAACATAATTGCATCCCCCAAAGATTTTACTGACTTATCTCGCAAGGTTTTGTTGTTGGTGTTGGTGTTGGTGTTGTTGTTGGTGGTGGTGGTGGCTTTGGTTTAATATTAATGGAGCATTATATGAAGAATACAATTCAGAACATGACACAGGCTAATTCTCAGCTGAAATAAAGCCTTTTAGAAAGCTAACATTTTTAAAAGCAGAGAAAGTGTAGTAGATTCAAAATCGTGCACTTCAATTTACACAAAATATTCACAGTGTATTATGTCACAGGTGAAGAGAATAGTGATACTAGATACTTAGATTGGACCAGATCTATAATCTCCAATGGTCAGTTAGAATTTTAACATAAAATACTTAAATTATCCACAGCAGATCACTGAGAAAAGTATGTATGGTCAGCTTGTGCTCTAAATTTACCATTTCAAAACCTTCATTAACTATAAACATATGAAAAAGTCAACATCCTCAGCATTAAAAAGGTCAAATTCACATTATTAATCTATACTTCATTTATACACTGGTTTATTTTCTCACCAAATAGATTTTCTTCCTTTTTAATTATCTATTTTTGTCAAATATGCCACTATAAACCAGAGACTCAAGCCAAAAATATAGTCATTCTAGGGTTTGACTTCTTTAGCCACTACTCTAGGCATTGGAATCAAGGACCTGTTGGTTAAGTCTCCTTACTACACTGTGAATCCACTGCTATCCCGTCACTATTTCAGATTCCTTTTAAATGTGGCTTGCCTCTGCTTCTGAAATAGTCTCCAAATTTGTCTCCCTGCTTTTGTGCTTCCCTCACATCTTTCCTCCACAGTTCATGTCAGTGTGATATTCCTAAGATTGAGTTCACGCTTATCAACCCACCACCCCTAAAACCATCTATAGTTTCTCAATACCTTTTGACTAAAGTTCCAGTTTTTCAAAATGACATACAGAGTCCTGAGGAATGACACAGGGACCTTCAGAATTCTCTGCCTTCAGTCATATTTCTCCTAACATAGCCCACCCTGTGCCGTTCTTTTTCAAACTGCTTAGATGTCTTGTGTTTGTGAAGTTCCCTCATGCCAATCAACATCCGACCTGGTTATGCCACGTCACCGTGTCTTTTCTATTTCTGGTTGCTCTCCCTAGAAGAGCTTCACTGCTCTGACCAGGAAAAGGATATTTGGCCATCTTTCAACAAGACATCCTAACCCCTCCCCATCCAAACAGAAATGAGCACTTCTAGACTTCAGCCATTGTCAACTTTCTACATATTTTCATAATCTATAATACTTTTATACACATATTTATGTGTTCTTATTCTAAAGTAGGTCATAAATACCTAAAATAAATTTGTTTTTGCATCCTGAACACCTAGAAAGAATGCCATAAATGTTCATTTATGGATTTATTTTGAAATAATAAATATATATTATGATATAAACTATTCAGTTTATATAGCTTCATTTATTGTACATTTGATTTTTATTTGAACAAAAAATCATAAGGTCATGATAATATACAAAAATGTAGAAATACAAATGTTTGACATATTATCCATTGTGAATTTTTCTTGAATATTCTCCCCTTTACTTTGCTTTATTCCCCATTTCGAGAAGTTAGACTTTTTCTTACTCAATACAGTATCTCATGGGAGTGATGGAAAAGGTAGAAAAGAGACTTGTTCTGCCTGTTGCCTTCCAAGAGCCTAGTTCCCTTAGTAAATGAAAAAATATTATGTATACAATAAGTATTTAAGAGGGGTACACTAGGCCAGGCATGGTGGTTCATGCCTTTAATCCCAGCACTTTGGGAGGCTGAGGCTGGCAGATCACTTGAGGCCAGGAGTTCACGACCAACCTAACCAATGTGGTGAAACCCCGTCTCTATTAAAAATACAAAAATTATCTGGGCTTGATGGTGCACACCTGTGGACCTAGCTACTTCAGAGGTTGAGGCACGAGAATGGCTTGAACCCAGGAGGCGGAGGTTGCAGTGAGCCGAGATGGCACCACTGCACTCCAACCTGGACGACAAAGAGAGACCCTGCGTCCAAAAACAGGGGGTGTGGGGGTAGATTAAAGAGGGCAATCTCTGCTCTTACCCCAAATGGAAAAATGTCTCTTGGAAAAGAGACAAGGGAGATACGGGACATGATGAGGACAACATATTAAAATGGGCGGTTCCCTCCCAGAAAAAAGAGTCTGAGCCTTTCTTCACAAACAGTACCAAAGAAGTGGAGAAGCAGACCCTCAGCCTTCCAGGGATTTCTGTGCTCTTCTTTACATGGAAAGAGCAGCGTGACAGTTGTGCCTATGAATATGACTGGAGCATAGAGGAAACAGAACCACCTGAGGAGTCAAGGAGGAACAAGAGATGCCGAAGTGGCAACTTAGTGGTATATGGATTGGTAAACAGTCCAGACAAAACAGTGGATCTTACTCATATAAAAAGAAGACATTGAGGCCCCAGTGAGTCCCTCCAATGACTTTTATAACATTTCCCAAAACTTAATATCATCTTAGGAAAAAGAAAGGGATTGGTTCTATCTTGAATAAAATTATGTTTCTGCCATACTGGCAAAAATTTATTTGAGTTATAGAAAATAAACTTCTATGGAAACAAAGATTCCTACCTGCTACATAAGTTTGAGGCAGAGCATTCCCAGACAGAAACTTCATTTATAGCCAATATTTGTTCCAGTTACCTTAATAACAATACTCTTCATTGAATACTGCATCAGTCACTCAGGTGATTGAGTCAGCCATTTATATCATCATGGTTGACAGGTTTTCAATCACTGTACTTTTGTCAATTAAATATAAGCATATATGCCTCACTACTGTTTCTGTTTCTGTTTACTGGTTTCAACTTCAACTAATTCTTGGCTTGATTTCAAATTTATCACATTTTAAGTAATTCAAGGTATGACTTTACAAGAAAAGTCTTCAGAAAGTTTCACCACCCCCTCTAGCACAACTGAGAATGAATAATTTACACCTTTCCCAGGTAGCTTACTGCTTCATCTCTTGTATCATAGATATTTATGTGACTTTCTTATTATCTGTCCTAGCCTATAAGCTCCTAGATGATCTACTTATTTTTGTGTATTAAACATTTTTGTATCTCCCACAGGGTCTTGTAAACTTATTTAAAGGTGGAGGTGCTCAGTAAATATTTATTGAACCAATGAATAAAAGAGTAAGCCAAATTTTCTATGTTCTCATTCTGTGAAGCCAAAATCACAAATCCATATTAGAACCAAAGCACATTAGGATAGAAAAGACTTATGCCTACAGCCAAGGAAGATGTTAATATAAAAACTGATTATTTCTTAACTATTTCAAATCTAGACATTGTTATTAATGAAATGTCCTGGTAAGATACAAGTTATCTTAAAAGTGACCTGTGCACTTTGTGTAATATTTAAAGGTATCTGTGGGGATTTTTGGAAGTTCCATATCACTTTGGAAAAATCTTCAACTAGATTATTCATGCCATGAGCTAGACAACCCTCCCTGGGGGATGTTTCCACTCTGTGTAGTTGGGAGTCTGAGTAATGTTCTCTTGAAGATTGTCTTATACCATGAGGTGAGGTACTGCATTTGGTACCAGCTGCAATCTCCACATGGTTTTCTGCTTTCGTTTCAGAAAAACACATTGAAATAGACACATCTGAACATGATAAATGTAGGGATCACTGTTGCAGAGTCCTGTGCACTGTAGGAAAGGATGCAGACAGTCAGTCAGATGGAGAGTTTAAAAGGGCATCCTGGCTGCCTAAGCAATCTGAAAACCATCAAAAGTGATAAATCTAGTGATATTCTTAGGTCATGTTCCAACTTCACAGTTTGAATATAACCAAAGTTCAATTTGTGATCCAATTTCTCTCCTACACACTATCAAAGTATGCTTTCCTTTTTGACAATATCACTTTTTGTTAACTGGGGTTCCACTCATCCACTTATACAAAACATTGAACTCCACTAGTTCTTTTATTAGTCATTGTCCATAATGAAACTGTGTTTATGTTGTATCTAAATGTCCAATATTATCTTATTATGATTCTGTCTGATACTTATCATTTAAATGTGTGCATGCCCCCGCCATTCATGTATATTAACAATGCCTGCCCTAGACTATATCCACCAAATGTCCCAACTAAATTGATGAAATGTGACAAAAATGAAAAATAAGTTTTGCTTTGTGTCATTAATACCTATTGATAGATATCCTAAAAATTTAATTTATTGACACTTTTCATATTTTGTAAGAACCTACTCTCTCCTGGGCACTGTATTTGGCATTGGAAATACATCTTACTGACATACTGAAAAGCCCTAAATGGAAAAATGCCCACTAATGACTCAGAATGAGAACATTCATAGTGGCGATGATGACAGCCACCTGAATTAAATGACAGAAAGTTAGGGATGTCTGATTCACCTCTCTTCACACACACATTGAAACACAACACAAAAGAAAAGGCGATATGGAAAAATTTCCAAGTTTATTTTAGAAAATTTGAAAAACACCAAGGTGAAAAAGAGACAAAAGCTATTAATATTTTGACCCACAGTTCTCAAGACTTTGTTATTTTACTTGTTTCAGTGTTCACAATTTTTAAAAGGAAGAAGGAATGGGTAGTGCTAATTTTGAATCAGAAATTACCTATTTCTGAATAAACTGAAACACTTTATAGATCCTATGTTTCCAGGATAATAAATGGTAAGTTACAATGGCCAGATTGCATTGCTGCTATGCACTGGAAGTTAAAACTGTTTTATTTTAAGTCTGGCAAATACCAATAAAACGTTCACTAACCGAAGTTCTGATGAAGCCCTGGGGCGAGATAGCAGGTGCACACAAAGAAAAACCATGATATGTTTCTCTTCACTCACCAGTACTGTACTCACTCACCCCAAGTCTCTAACAAATTCAGACATTTTTGTGGACAGAAGGAAATAAGCCACTCCCTTATAATACTGAACCTGGTTTATAAAGCATTCAAGGCTGTTTTAAGCTTTCTCACTATCTCTTATCTCTCTTTATACAATAATTCTTTCCCACATCAATTTTTAGAGATGTGTTGCATTTCACAGAGGAAAAAAGAAGTGCATTAGAGCTTTATGTCTGGCCATAGCTGTAAGGGACTGAACCTTGCCAAGGCATAGGAGCAATGCAATCTGGCCATTGTAACTTACCATTTATTATCCTGGAAACATAGGATCTATAAAGTGTTTCAGTTTATTCAGAAATAGGTAATTTCTGATTCAAAATTAGCACTACCCATTCCTTCTTCCTTTTAAAAATTGTGAACACTGAAACAAGTAAAATAACAAAGTCTTGAGAACTGTAGGTCAAAATATTAATAGCTTTTGTCTCTTTTTCACCTTGGTGTTTTTCAAATTTTCTAAAGTAAACTTGCATTATCCTTGCAATCTTGAAAAACTAAATGCTCTCCAAAATGATGCTGAGAACCAGTTTAAACTAGGTCAGTCTTATGTTTTTAACAGATACCAGGACAGCTGGGATCTTGCTCTATTGGATTTGATTCAAAGATGATGTAGAATTTTGTGCTCTACACAAGAACTGCCATATGAGTCAACAGAGTTTGTGACCTTGCTCAGACTTTAACTAAATAGGCTGGTATACCAAGCCCTTGAAATTATCTGCCTTGGAGGAAACACAGTGAAGTGAAATTAAACCAAAAAATTTACCAGAGCACAAAAAACTTCTTCTAGTACCCAGAACAATCAACAATAAAATATGTTTTGGTGATGATATCATGGACATGCTATGACAGGTTTAATTTCAAGTTTTAAGGCAAGGTTTATGCAAAATAGAAAAAATAAATTCAGGTATTCAGGTAGCTCGGTGCAAGGGTTAAATGGATTTATGTTTAAGTCTTATAAGCAGTAATCACACAGAAAAAAATAATGACAAGGATGACAGTATTAATAAGTGGGAAAACTAATACAAATGGTTAGATGATCAGTAAGAAAATGACTCTATTTTATTTAAAGTTCAAAATAGCCCCAGAATATTGGTTTTGGTAATATAAATTGTCTAAGGGTGTTATCTTTCCTACTTCTTTCTCATTAATTGACTTAGCATGGTAGTTTACATGTAATTGGCAAGGTACCCTGCCAGGTTATCACCTGTCTCAGATGCACCCTTTTCCTTCATGCCTTTCACTATGAATCTGGAGGTACTCAATTCTCAAAAATTAAAAACCAGCCCATATTCTATAAGTGTAGTGTCATACAGAAAAAGAAAAAAAAAAGATGGGTCTATAAATGAATTGCATTCATTTTTCTGGAACAATAACCACCAAAAAAAAAAAAACCCAACATAGCAAAATACTATATTAATTTACTTCAGGACCAAATGAACAAAATCACTGGACTTTGTAAAACCCTATTGTTTCGCAAGACTTACTGACACCTGGTGGCTAAATCTCAACAGACTTTGCAATAAACAGAGAAGAGCTCTTTTTGCCAGGCAACATATAGGATTTGCAACACACTTGACATTGAGGGAACACTAAACACATAGCTCTAGTCTAAGCAGAGTAAGAAAATCTATGTCAAAGCAGAACTCTGCAATTTATTCTTGTTCAATGGCACTCATGAGTATTCATTTTCAAGTTTTCAGGTGTGAAAACTTGAAATTGAATTGTCAATAACTCAATTCATCTGCTCCAAGTTACCATGTGGAGAACATCTGAGAGGTTGGGGGCTGAAAGAAAATCACCAAGAGGTCTTTTACTTATCTTGAATAGATTTTGGTCCTTCTTCCTTTACATACAAATGAACTAGTAAAAATACCTGTATTTCTTTTTAAACCTCAGCATTATGTGATAGATGTTCATTTTATGGTCTAGTTATTTTTTTTCTCCAGATAAAAAACAACATAAAAATTATATAAATTCACAGCTCAGAGAAACTGTATACATTGAATTAGTGGTAACTTCATGCCTTCCCATGGTTATAATTTTATCCAGTGCTTCTTAAACTCTAGTGTGTGAAGAATCACTGTTTTCTTATTTTAAAATGCACCTTGACAGGGCACATGTCTAGGGCACCTGATTCAAGTAGATCTTGTGTGGGGATCTGGAGTATGTACTTTTAACCTATTCTTGGACTAGTTCTTAGAAATCCCACTGGAATCCATCTCTCACCCTTTAATTTTTTCTGATCCTTCTCAGATTCTCAGTATCCTGATTGTCTCTGTAATCCCCAACTTTCTGATCTATTTCCCAGCTAGCTTCTGTTTCTACCTCTTCTAATAACATCATCCTGATTTTCTTTTAAGGAACTCCTCTACAATTTCAGTCACGTTGAGCCAATGCAATTCAGAAAAGTCCAACCCCATGCCTCCTCAAAATTTGGGCATGTGAACCAGGCCTGGACAAGCGGGTCATTTCATTTCCTACCCTATAGTAATTAGTTTGGGGTGGGTAGATGACCTGGAATTAAAGGAGGCTTTTATTGTGATAATTGTTGAGAAAGAAACACTAGCTCTCATCGGGGTCACTTAGCTGGTAGAATATGACCTTGGAGATGCTATTGGCCATCTGTGTCATTCTGTATGAAAAATAAAATCACACACATAAAAACAGAGCTAAGAGATGTTGAAACACAGCTTTCTGCAGTACTGTTTGAGTGCCTTTGAGGTTTTTGTTTTTTGCTTTTTTGTAAATAATTCAATCTAATCATAAATAACTATAAAGGAGCTCAAAATAAATCTAAGAATGCAAAGGTTAGGAATACATAATGGGTTATTAAAGGAAGATAGAGGTTTAAATAACAACTTTGGGAAATGTTAATTTATCAACTATGCTAATTTAAGTTTAGACATATTATATAGCACAACACTGAAAACGTGAAAGTAGCCATGAATGTATTGTTCCTGACTGCAATAAGAAAGCTCTTTATATATCACCAGAAGATAGGATTTTGCGATAGTTTTCTGCTAAGTGCTCAGTATCCCTTTCTTTATCTACAGAAAGATTTATTTTTGGTAATGTGTATTATAATTCATAACATAATGTTGGATATCTATCACTTTAATAACATTTAATTTCCTCTTTAATCTGTTAATGTAATAAATTACAATATTAGATTTCCTGACATCAGCTAATCTTTGAAGTCGTAAGACTACTTCATGAGTTGTTTTTCTCTTAATACAGTGTTAAGCTATATTTGCAAGGTGTTACTTATTTGCATTAATTTTGTTGTTTTGGTTTTGCTTACCTCATAGAACTAGTGGAAATATCTAGAAACTTTAAAATAAAATAAGAGTTTTAGCTTCCTTGAAGGGTTGGTGAAATTTAGTTTCTATGTTGCATTTTAATTTTTTTTTTAACTTGTGATTCCCTGACAAAAACTCTTTTCTTGACCCTCAGTTTCCTCTGAGCCCGACTAGGCCCTGTCCTGGGGTATATCCTTCAAGAACCCAATTTTAGCAAGAATTCTACTAAGTTAGTTTATCCAGGATCCCCCAACCTTAATATCAGATCATCTTCAATATCTGATCAGGTTCTTCTTCCTCCACCATTCCCCAGGGAATGTCTGATCACACTGGCCTGCCTTCAGCAAGAATCTGGTTAAGCTGGTTTTAGCTATAATTCTTCTTTAACCCTGATGTTTTCTCTTAGTAATTTTCCATCCACAATTCCCCATTTGGCTCCCTGGGTATAAATTCCCACTTTTCCTTGTTGTATTTGGAGTTGAGCACAATCTCCCTCCCCTACTACAAAATCCCACAGCAGTAGTCCCTATAGCTATCGTGATGGTTTCTATGAATAAAGTCTGCCTACTATTGTCAGGAATCAACCTCAACTGTAAATGTTTTCAGCTTAGGGACTAGTCCTGCCCCTCTGCACATCTAATACTTAGCACAGACTTTGCCATGTAGCAGATCTTAGATGAACATATCTTCTATCAATTAAGGTAATACAGTTGGATAATTTTTTGGATCTGACCACGCAAAAATGAAAAAAAAATCTTTCTTCAAACTGTCAAAAATATAAATCAAATCAAATTAGCAAAGGAAATGTTAATGTTTATTCTCACACAAAGAGGAAGTGCAGATCGTGATCCAACAGACTAAACTCAAAGTAATGGGTTAGAAGCTCAGAGGAGGGATGTTACAGGCTGGCTTACATAGTGAAAATTAGGGAGTTTTTTTAACCTGTGCAGTCTTTGGTATTGCAATGGGATTTCCCGATAGGAGGGGATCAATTAATAGGAATTATTTTTACCATTTTTGGAAGGTGACTTAGTTTTACTTTTGATTATCAGAGGCATTCACAAGAAATAGCCTGTTTAGTTTTATTTACATTCACAAATCAAGAAAGATTAACTTTTGCTTGTGGGGCCTAACTGGCTTGCTCTGCTTGGTGAATTCTCAGGACTTTTATTTTATTTTAACAATTCAAACTCTGTGTAAATTCTTCCCAAATAATAAATGATCCCTCTACTCTAAGATAAGATAAACAAAGTTGTTTAATAACAATATTGTTAATTGGATACTATTTCTTAAATTCCTATGGACTGTTTTTCTGTTTTAGCTAGTTTGTTATGCTATTATTCCTACATGCAAAATGATTCTTTTATGTAATTCAGATGGAAGAGAAGCCTTGTCTAAATTCAAACAGCAAGTTAGCCCACTGTACCATATAGGCAGTCAATCTATGTCAGCTCAAGTTCAATAATCACAGCAAGGCAACAAAATCACTAATCTGATGAAAATAATGAGGACTAGTGAACAGAATAATATGTAATGACAAAGATTTAACAAAAAGAGATTATAGTGTGTTATATAAGCAATAGTGTTTCAGTTCAAAGTTGAAATTCTGCAGCTTACTGAACAGCTCTTCAAATTGGCATTCACTCAGTTTCCACAGCTCTTAAATATCACAGCATACAACCATATATTAAACATTAAAATGTTCATTTTTGTCTTTTAAGAAATGACAGCCTTCTAGAGAAAACATTGAGACAGAGAAGACAACCAAATTCTGCACATTAAATGTGTAAAATGTTTTCAAAAACCTGAAAATCTCTACCTATGTTCTGCTTTTTCAAAAACAAAGGAAATGAAATAGAGTGAGACGATAATGAATGCACATATATTTGTTACTCATGTTTTGGAGATGAACCCTTATATCCAAATAAGGAAATAAAAATGAAATAAAATTTCATTAAAAGATACACTAGAACCTAACAAACCATATAGGAAACACGATTAAGTGTACAACCTTTAAGTAATATGTTACTCTCTCTATAATATAAATATTCCTCTTTGGCTTGAGCATGCGAGGCTAAATATCTCATTTATTATTATACGACATGTTCCTTCCAAGCACTTAAATATTTCTATAAGGTTTTGTATTTCATTTTGTTTTGCTTCTGGATTAGAATTTCTTGCAATTGGAATTACTAATTAGGAAAATACAAGGAGTTCCACGTTTAGGTTTGCATAGTTTTCCTAAATGTAGGAATTTTTAACGATATCTTAAGCTTTAAAAAAAATCCTGAAAAGGAAATTATAAATTGTATTGGCATAAGAGAGAGATTTTAGGCAAATGGACACAGATGGGAAGTTTCAGAACTTTACACAATTCTTAAATAAACATTTTTCTTCCAATCTTTTTCTTGGGTGATTAGATTAATTTTGTAGAGATTGAAATCAAGTGAATTATTCACATATGCACTTAATACTTTTGAAACAGTGGTTGAGAAGTTTTCTCAGTATATTTTTCTACATCATAAAGAGCCCCAAACACTGTAGTAATTTCTCCCATGAAATATATAAATTGTCGTATATAAACCCCGACTATTGTTGCTGAGTTGGGCTTCAGGATTTTCTCTTCTGGGCATTATAACAAGTTAAAAACCTGTATTTGCCTTAAAATTCATTGTCCAACCACATAAGCCTCCAATATGACAACTCTGATTATTTTAGGGCTCTTTTGTCTAACCATAAACATTTTTTACAAAATCATTTTAGATTTTTTTTTTACATATGAGTATAGGGAAGAAAAAGTAGAAAAAGTAGTATATTTTTCTTACCCATCACGAAGTTTATGGCTGAGGCCCCTATAATGAAAGACAGATTAACAAGTGAAAAGCATACAGATCAATTTAAGTTTTGCATGGCATGGAAGCCTTCAGAAATTAAGACCTGAAGAAACAGAGAAAACTGTATTTTTATGGGCTGTCATGAAGAAGTACAATTAGAAGACAAAATGATATGATAAAATGGTAATAAAATTGGGGAAACTTAGCAAACCCTGTTTGGTCAGAATCTTCTTGGTGTCTCTCTTCTTTCATTTCCTCCAGGTACAGGGAGGAATCCTCTACAATGAGGGTCTTATAACCTTTAGGGCAAGGTCATAGAATTCTTCTATGGCCTGAGTCAGAGGAGAACAATAGGAGAAGGTCAGATAAACCTTCCTACTTCTGCCATTTTTTAAAAATGTCAAGGTGCCACATTTGGAGGTAGCATGCCCTGCACCCTGTAGAGGACAATAATTATTTCAAGAAAACATAACCCTTGAAGGCCAAAGTGCGTACCAAATGGAATGCACCACATTTCTGTAAAAAATTAGTTAAGTTTTTGAATGACTATTATGTGTCAGGCTATGAATTGATGAGAAAGTGGTGAATTAACTAGGTGTTGAAAGAAATAAAAGAAAAAATGTTTTGTTGAGGAAGCTAGAGGTAGGAGTATAGTTGCAGAGGCCTAGGACATATATATTGTAGCATTCATTGATCTTTCCACACCATCTAACATTTCTATATGATGAAACTTCACCTGCAGAGGCCCAGGACATGTATTACTATTCAGTTACTCATTACTCTTCTCTCCAAGCAGGAGTGTGCTGAGTAAGACTGAAAACCAAGCGTAGCAATGTATTCTTTATTACAATTATATTGGTTGTCCACAAGGATGTACACCACAGGGAAGGAAGGAATAAGTTAGTTTCCCTGTAATTTATTCAATGGTAAAGAGTAGGGAAAATTTACAAGGTAGAAAGGAGTAAGAATAGCATTAAAAGTTGAAAAGCCTGGTTCAAATATTTACATTTTTATTCCTGTGTAGATTTGGAAAATGAAATTCTGTAGAAAATGCCCTAATTTACCAAAGTCAGACACTTAGAAATGGATTTATAAATATATGTTTGTTTTCTGAGCTCCCGGTTAAGTGTTGTGAAGGAGAAAGAAACCACATTTGCTGTGTTTATTTCATACTCAAAGCCACAATGCCCAGATTCTGTAGAGGTTCAATAAATACTTATTGAATTAATTAACAGATGCATTAATTCTCAGTCCATAAGCTGCATCATCATTTTCCTGTTTGGATTAAGAAAAAAGAGAAGCAAAATGTTAAAATGTTAATATATATCAAAAACTAATATTTTAAAAACTGCTTCTTAGCTACCAGGTTAAATTTCCAGTTGAATCAAAGCTAAGGAGTATCATCAACTTGTGAAAATAGGTTTAGTAATGCAAGCGTAGGCAGCACAGTTGCGTAAAGAGCATCATTATGATTCTTTCCCCTTTTCCTTACTCACATTTAAGAAACCATCAAATTACATTCTGGCACGCACAGCATATTGGGAGAATAGGGTGGCCAAAGTACATGGCATTCGTTACTGAATTTGAACAGTATGATAAAACTTCATACCCCTTAATAAGTCTCAGAGCAGCACATGTTCTAATATTGAAAATGAAACATTATTTGTAAAGAATTAGCATGCCAGAAAGTCTTGTTAAGATGAGGTTTTAAGAATCTTTAAATAGCTGATATTTAAAGAAATAACAGCCTCATGATTGGAAGATGCTTAATTCAGTTAAGTATGTACTCTCCAAGCTAATGAATTGCTTTTTGAGAGAGAATCACAGTACACTTGGATGATAAAGTAAAATTAATTAACTCAGTGTCACAGTACACAGAGATTTTGAAACATGAAAAGCACATAACCTGAGCCTGAGCCACAAACTGGATTTTCCAGATGTAGACCTAGATGATAGCTGTAATTCACGTCATTTTATGACATTTCATGGAACATTTGGTTATTATGACATTTATGATGCAATGAAATAGGCTATAAAATGCTGTAAATTGTTGGGAACAAAAGACATTCATATATGTGATGGGCATTTTAGTTTTAATCAAGGTATTAGTAGGTTAAATCAAAATTCAACTCAGAGTTGGATGTTAAAGTTTTAATTTAGGTTTCTTTCTTTTTTCATTCTCCCTCCCACTCTCCATCTCTCTTTTTCTGACTACTTTGTTCCTTCTTTTCTATGAAATCAAATGTACAGGACTAAAAATTTTAAAAAAGAATTTTTTTTTCATATTTTCTGTTTCCATGTTTCTAGAGAGTGAAACAAATTTATGAACCTATGAATGAGAGAAGCAAATTCATAAATTGAAAATTGCATGGTTCCCAGTTCATTTGGATATCTCATGCCTTTCTAAAATGTGGAAAATGAAAAATTTCTGGTAGTAAGTGATGACTATGGTTTTCCTACATCTGGTAATATTATTTCCTAAAAACTATTTTAGCACCTGCTGTCAGATTTTTTTAAAGTGTCAGAATTGACTCCATTGAATTATGCACAGAAATTAATAATAAAGTGTTTTTCCAGGAAGTAGATTTTAAAGGCATAGATATTGATCTGAGGAAGAGAAAGATAAATAAGAGAACTTTACTAAAAAAGCTTGGCTATTCTTTTAGATATCATTATTACTTTGTTCAGTTTAGTATTTATAAAGTTACCAGAGTATCATTTGAATATTAAAGTTTGATACTGTATACATTACCACCAAACTGTTCCGAAAATATAATCAGCCACTATGCTAAAATAAGTGTAATGGTAAAAGGCCCAGTTACAATACTATATGAAGACAAATAAGAGTATTGCTATTATTACAAAGGATACAGCATTCCAAACTCACACTATTATGGTTGTTCCACAAATAAAAAGCTAGTTTCATCACCAAATGCATATAAACAATACTACTATCTAATTATTATCTATTGGCAAGCTCACCTTTTACTACTAGGATTAAAGATAAAGGCAGTTGCCACATATCTACAACTATCTGATCTTTGACAAACCTGAGAAAAACAAGAAATGGGGAAAGGATTCCCCATTTAATAAATGGTGCTGGGAAAACTGGCTAGCCATATGTAGAAAGCTGAAACTGGATCCCTTCCTTACACCTTATACAAAAATTAATTCAAGATGGATTAAAGACTTCAATGTTAGACCTAAAACCATAACAACCCTAGAAGAAAACCTAGGCATTACCATTCAGGACATAGGCATGGGCAAGGACTTCATGTCTAAAACACCAAAAGCAATGGCAACAAAAGCCAAAATTGACAAATGGGATCTCATTAAACTAAAGAGCTTCTGCACAGCAAAAGAAACTACCATCAGAGTGAACAGGCAACCTACAGAATGGGAGAAAATTTTTGCAATCTATTCATCTGACAAAGGGCTAATATCCAGAATCTACAATGAACTCAAACAAATGTACAAGAAAAAAACAAACAACCCCATCAACAAGTGCGCAAAGGATATGAACAGACACTTCTCAAAAGAAGACATTTATGCAGCCAAAAGACACATGAAAAAATGCTCATCATCACTGGCCATTAGAGAAATGCAAATCAAAACCACAATGAGATACCATCTCACACCAGTTAGAATGGCGATCATTAAAAAGTCAAGAAACAATAGGTGCTGGAGAGGAGTGGAGAAATAGGAACACTTTTCCACTGTTGGTGGGACCGTGGAAGTCAGTGTGGCAATTCCTCAGGGTTCTAGAACTAGAAATACCATTTGACCCAGCCATCCCATTAGTGGGTATATACCCAAAGGATTATAAAACATGCTGCTATAAAGACACATGCACACGTATGTTTATTGCGGCACTATTCACAATAGCAAAGACTTGGAACCAACCCAAATGTCCAACAATGATAGACTGGATTAAGAAAATGTGGCACATATACACCATGGAATACTACGCAGCCATAAAAAATGATGAGTTCATGTCCTTTGAAGGGACGTGGATGAAGCTGGAAACCATCATTCTCAGCAAACTATCACAAGGACAAAAAAACAAACACCACATGTTCTCACTCATAGGTGGGAATTGAACAATGAGAACACATGGACAGAGGAAGGGGAACATCTCACACCAGGGCCTGTTGTGGGGTGGGGGAAGTGGGGAGGGATAGCATTAGGAGATATACCTAATGTTAAATGATGAGTTAATGGGTGCAACACACCAACATGGCACATGTATACATATGTAACAAACCTGCACATTGTGCACATGTACCCTAAAACTTAAAGTATAATTAAAAAAAAAGATAAAGGCAGTTGTTCAAAATACTTCAAGTGTTAAAAATAAAAATATATAGAAGTATTATCTAAAAATTTTTCTGACATTATTTTTTATGTTTTAGGAAAACATATTATTACATAAATAAACTCTGGAACATGAAAATACAATTAATGAAAAAGCAATTATCATAATATAATTACTTTTATTTTTCAATATATTTGAAGCATGTTGTTGAATTTGTCATTTCTCATTTAATACACAAAGCAAATTTTTAATGTAGATATTGTTATGTCTATTTTAAAAATAAGAAACTTAAAGTAAATAAAGTTAATTTCCTTAAGGTGACACAGCTGATGAGGGTTTGAATCTACACCCAATGAATGACAATTTTCCCTGGTTTTTGTTGCTGTTGTTATATTGTTGTTTTGTTATTGTTATTTTTGTCGTCATGCAAATTCAAACTGTTTCTGGAGGTATTTGTGGTCAAAGATCAGGATAATTTTTTGTTGTTTGTTTGTTTGTCTGTTTTTTCTTGAGATGGAGTCACGCTCTGTTGCCCAGGCTGGAGTGCAATGGAAAGATCTTGGCTCACTGCAATGGCCACCTCCCAGATTCAAGCAATTCTCCTGCCTCAGCCTCCCGAGTAGCTGCAACTAGAGGCACGCACCACCATGCCTGGCTAATTTTTTGTAATTTTAGTACAGACGGGGTTTCACCATGTTGGCCATGCTGGTCTCGAACACCTGATCTCAGGTGATCCACCTGCCTCGGCCTCCCAACGTGCTGGGATTACAGGCATGAGAGATCAGGGTAATCAATAGGGATTTTTATCTCCCACAAAGTTCATATTTTGAAGCCCTAACCCCCAATGTGATAGTATTTGGAGGTGAAGCATTTGGAAAATAATTAGGTTTAGAAGATATCCTGAGTATGGTGTACTCAAAATGTGATTAGTGCCTTTAAAAGAAGAGGAAAAGACACAAGAACATTCTCTCTCTGTCTGTTTCTCTCTCTCACTCCATGTGCACACATGGAGGAAAGATTGTGAGTACTCTGAGAGATGATGGCTGTCTACAAGTTAGAAAGAGAGCTCTCCCCAAGGACCATATCTACCAGCACCTTGATCTTAGACTTCCCAGCCTCTAGAATTGTGAGAAATCAATGTTGGTTTTTTAAGCCATCCTGCCCATGGTATTTTGATACAGTGTCCAGAGCTGACTAATATAGAAAGAAAAGTCAAAAAGGTTTTATTGGGAGAGGTCTTTTTTTATTTAAAAAAAAGTGCTGTTATGAGGAAATATAGATTAATCTAACTTTACAAGGAGAGGCTGTCTCTCATAAGCTTCATCATCCTGAATAAGACTATATCACCCGTAAACACTCTCAGATTCGGGTACACCAAACATTGATTGACAAGTTTTGTATGCTAAGCTCTATCCTAGATCCTTCAAGTAAAATAGATAATTTTAGTCCTCAAGAAATCCATAATAACTATCCTATTGTTCCATTTTACAGGTGGTAAAGCAGGCTTGAGGATCTCGCTCAAGGTCACGTGATGATTAAGTTTCAGGACAAGACTCTAATCTCATGTCTTCATACTCCCAGTAAAGCACTCTATTTTCTATATCCTCTGTGTAATAATTTCATTGATCCATGCTGGAAACATGAGTGCATATTCCCAACAATCCATTTTGTTGCTGAAATTATTATTGATTATAATATATTAATAGTATCAGTGAATTGGTTTTATAGAAACATCAGATATTTTAGTATCAGAAAAATTGAAACTGCAGAGTTTTGTGTCCTTATGTTTTTAATTGTTCAATATTAATTTTCAATTTACATACTATAAAATTCACTCTTTATGACATACAGTTCTATGAATTTTGGCAAATGCATACAGTTGTGTATTTACCACCACAGTCATAATATAGAATAGTTTCATTCCCCTAAATTTTCCTTCTGTGGTCCAATCTCTTCCACTTTTCCAAATCCCTGGAAAACACTGATATAGTCTCATCAATACAGTTTTGTATTTTCAAAAATGTTATATAAATGGAATCACTTAACATGTACCTTTGGGGGTTTAAGTTCTTTCACTTGGAAAAGTTAATTTGAGATATGTCCATATTATTTCATAAATCTATATTTTCTTCTTCATATTCCTGGGTAAAATCCATTGTATTGATGTATTACAATTTGTTTAATCATTCAAAAATTGAAATACAAATGATTTTTTTTCAGATGTTTGATGGTTAAGAATAAAGCTGACTTTTAAAGTATAAGAAAAATAAATAAATAAATAAAAAGAATAAAGCTGACATCTATTCAGAAACAAGTTTATATTTAATTATAAATTTGTATTTCTCTAGAGAAAATACCTAGAAGACGGATTGTTGGGTCATATGGCAAGTATATGCTTAATTTTACAAGAAATTGCTAAACGATGTTGCAAAGCAATTGCACCATTTTATGCTCCGTATTAGTTAGGGTTCTCTAGAGGGACAGAACAAATAGGATAGATGTATATATAATGAGGAGTTTATTAAGGAGTATTGACTCACACGATCACAAGGTGAGGTCCCACACTAGGCCATCTGCAGGCTAAGGAGCAAGGAAGCCAGTCCAAGTCCTAAAGCTGAAAAACTTTGAGTCCAATGTTCGAAAGCAGGAAGCATCCAGCATGGGAGAAAGATGCAGGCTGGGAGACTAAGCCAGCCTAGTCTTCTCACGTTCTTCTGCCTGCTTTTATTCTGGCCACACTGGCAGCTGACTAAATTGTGACCACCCAGATTGAGGGTGGGTCTGCCTTTCCTAGTTCACTGACTCAAATGTTAATCTCCTTTGGCAACACCTTCACAGACACACCCAGGATCAATACTTTGCATCCTTCAATCCAATCAAGTTGACACTCAATATTAACCATCACATGCTCTTACCAGCAAATAGTTCCAGTTGCTCCACATCCTCACCAGCACTTAGTATTGTTAGTTTTTGTTTCTGATTTTGTTTTTGCTATGCTAATAAATACATTCCAGTATTTCATGTGATTTTAAGTCCCATTTCCCTAATGATTAATTTTGTTGAGCATCTTTTCATATGCTTGTGTGTTATCAAAACATCTTCCTTGCTGCAGCATCCAGATATTTTGCTCATTTTATATGTTTATTTTCTTTTTGTTTGATTTTTATAATTTTAGAATTCTAAACACAATTTATTTGTCAGTGTGATTTGTAAATATTTTCTCCAGCTCTGTGGTTGACCCTTTTATTGTCATGATAGTTCCTTTCACAGAACAAAAGGTTTTAATTTTAATAAACTCTAATTTATCAAGTTTTCTCTTTTGCATTATGCTTCTGATGTCTTATGCAAAAACTCACAAACCCAAGATTATAAAGATGTTAACTTACGATTTCTTCCATAAGTTTTAGAATTTTACATTTTACATTTAGGCTTGAAATCCATTTTGGCTTACCCTTTATAAAATACGTGAGGTATGTGTTGTGGTCCATGGTTTTGCGTATGGATGTCCAATTGTTTTAACACCATTTATTGAAAATACTTTTTTTTCCACTAAACTGCATTTGTGCCTTCATCAAATACCAGTTTATTATTTGTTTGGGTCAATTTCTGGACTATTTGTTCTGTTCCATTGATTTATGTTTTATATTTTAACCAACTACACAATGTTTTGATTATTTTAACTTAGTAGTAAGTCTTGAAATCAGATAATATGAATATTCCAAATTTGTTCTGAAAGGGAAAGAACAAGGAGGATTACATTCAGTGTTTTATATGGGCCAACTCTGGAGATAATTCACTTCACATCATTAACAAAATGTAATCATATAGCCATACATAACTGCAAGTGATGCTTGTAAATGCAATTAATATCTATCTAAGGGAAGAAAAGGACCCAAGTTTGGTAACCAGCTGCCCAGTTTCTGCAACAAACATCAATAAATATTTTGTGTCATTTTTAATGACAGCACAGCCAGGATAAACTAATTTTAATTCAACTCCATCTTTCCAATCTCATCTTTCATTATTCTTTAATTAAACTTTACTAAACAGTGATACATCCCTAAGTTCTATGATTATGTTTTCTCCTATTTCTTCTGCTTTAGCGTTACTTCTCAAAATTTCTACCTGTCACTTCCAGATTGTTTCAGGTACCACCTGCTAAATGACATATTTCTGGATTCCTTAAAATAGGTATTATCTTCCCTTTTTCTCAACCTTCAAAATACTTTAGCAATGTTTTACTTATAACTTTCCTTTCTACATAGTAATTTATATACTTTTATGACTTCTACTAGGTTTATAGTCCTTGAAGAGAATGGCCATAGTTTATAAATATGTAAAATTCATTCCTGTATCCATAACAGAATAACTTAGTAAACATATGTTTGTTTTACTGTTGATGGTTCAGCCAAATGGCCCTAACATTCTTAGCGAATGAAATTGAAGTCAGCATCAAGTCAAAGCTCAAATAATAGAATATCAGAATTCATATGGCATTTTGTCATGATCACATATAGGGACCAAAATATTGCTGTCTAAATTACAACTCCTAAATCTGTCAAGATTAAAAAAGGTGACTGAAGGGCAGAAGGGTGGGCTACTGTTTCCCAACGCCTAGAAATTATGGTTATCCTCATGGCCATGAGTTTTTTAAAATCACATAAGTTACTGCCAAGAGAAGAAAATCAATTTATACCTCTACAACTTCCTATTCTTCTTGTCCATCATAGGCTAATTGAGATTTCCAAAGGGACTTTGAGTTATAAACTTGAGAAGGAGGAAAAGAAACAAATAATGAAATAAGGGTGGTGACCCTGAGCCTAAGGTAATTTGAAATATTCTTTGAGCCTGTATAAGTCAACTCACTCAGTAATAAAATAAAGAGCATTATCTGGCTCAAACCTCATTAATTAAATTAAAAGGTACAATTCCATTAATTAATTTAGTCTACAATATTCTAATAGAATCACTGTGCATCCTCAGCATTTTTGTACCTAATTTTTGTTGTAGACAGTCCCATTCTACTTTAATTTTCTCCATGTTCCATTGTGCAGCATGATTTGTATTTTTAATCTAGGCAAATGTATTTAAACAGTTACGTACAAATAGCACACACAAGCGTATCTTTTTTCTTCAATATTACATCTGCTCTTTTATTTCTAGGAAAACTGATATATTTGTTAATATACACACACTTATGTTGATGATTTTTTTGTTTTCTTATCCAAAAAGTATCATATCTCTCAAAATGTTATGATCCAGTTTCTAAAACCAGAAATATAAAATCATCCTCCATTCTATACCATCTGAGTTTTAATTTAGTCAAGTTCAATTGATTATACGTCCCAGAGATAAGTCTTTTTCCCTACCCAATCATCATTGCCCTATTCAGATATCTGTATCTTATTGCCTGGATTACTACAATAGCTTAATAATCTGCCTCTTTCCCCCTAATCTGTTAGTGACACTGCAATCATTGTTAGTGAATACCCTCAATTATTCTCCTTTTTAAAGTTTCTTCAGAGACTGATCATTATCTGGTAGAATAAAATTCCAATTTCCTAGGAAGAATGCCCTTCAAAATTTTTCTCAGCCCCAATTAACCTTAAGGTTTTTGTTTGTTTTTTAACTTGGGTCTCAGAAAAGTAAAAAACAAAACAAAACAAAACCAACCAAAAAAAAACTGTTTTTGGTCTTTTCCTTTGAGAACAGTATTGTTTCTCATCAATTATTCAAATGGATTTTCAGCCTTTCCAAAATTTAAGATCTATTGTCTACAATTTTATCCATGACTTGTCTCCATAGCTTCATGACTCAACATGCTTTCCTATATTCTTCCAGCTTCCAGAAATGTCTTTATTCTCTTGTTTTAAATATCCCCATCCATACAAAAGACGCGTAACACAATATAATATAACTACTATACAAGCTCCATCCCACAATTCAAATACCTCTTGCTTCTTTTCAGTTCTTACTCCAACTTTATTAAAATCTGTTAGATTATTTACTCCCACTTAGATTTAAAATTTATTAGATTTAAAGACTTCTCTGAGCAACTAGTATATTTTGTATACAGCTTGTGGTAGCCTCTTCTAAAATAGTTTCGAATGATGCCTTATGCCTGGTATTCATGCCCTTGTGTAATCTCCTCCATTTCAGTGTCAACTGAACTTAATTATTTGCTTCTAATGGATAGAATACAGCCAAAGTGATGGAACGTCATATCCAACATCAGCTTACAAGAAAGATTCTAGCTTCCATCTTGCTAACCCATTCTTGCTCTCTCATTTCCTTGCTTTGATGAAGAAAGTTATCATGCTGTGAAATGCTGTACGGAGAGGTGTATGAGACAAAGTACTAAGATAGGTGTCTGGCCAACAGCTCATGAGGAACTGATTCCCTCAGTCCAGCTACCAGAGAAAAACTGAATCCTGCCAACAACCACATGAGCAAGCCTGAAGATGGCCTTTCTTCCTGTAGAGGCTTGAGATGACCGCAGCTCCAGCTGACACTTGACTGCAGTCTGTGAAGGACCAGAGTGAGAAGACACAATAAAGTCATTCCCGGACTCCACCTCTACAGAAACCTGAAATAATAAATGTTGCTTTAAGCCACTATTTTGAAGTAATTTATTACTCAATAATCTATCATAAATATATATCTTTTGTATTTTGTTTGCTTCTCAAGAAGAATACACAATAGAGGAAAGAATGTGAGTTTTGGAACTAAACCAAATTGAGTTAAATGTTACTTATGCCATATCATTAACAGAGTGAGTGTGGATTAGTTACAATATCAGTTTCACTACTGATCAAATTTGTTATCTATGTTATATGGTTGCTGTGAGAACTGCACCTTACAAATAACAGATGCTCAATATTATTGTTATTCTATTATTTATTTATAGGAATGACCCTTCTGCTGATATATCAGACTCTTAAAGGCAGGAACAATGTCTTTATTCACTTTTGTATCACAGCACTTGACATATGGTATTCAATAGTAAATGTTGAACTTAAAATTAATTAAGTAATGAAAAATGTGTATTACAATACTTCTTTCTCTTGAAAGTAAGCATTCAGACACATACAGTGATTTGAATTCTTAGTGACTTAGTGCTTAGCCATTGAAAAAGCAAACCTGGACCCAATTCCTTTATACAAAAGTTGAAAGTTTATTTTGCATGCAGCTTTTTCCCCCTTCATCTTCAAGCAACTATGGTTTTCATGTTGGCTTTAATGTAAAAATATATTCATTATTAATTACTTCATTTAACTCCAATCAGTAGTGAAAGCAAAACCTTCAAAGAATGCTCATCAAAGTAAAAGAGAGCTGAAGTTTCATTCATCATTGTTGAAACCATTGTTCTCTCTTCTTCCTCCCTCACTTAGAGTTCGCTACTTAATGAAATAAATAAATAATATTGTAAGGCACACTACTCTGTAATTCCTCAAGGATAAATTTTATTGTTTATGAATTAAAGACAGATTTCCCCATAAAAGCTCTGATTTTTAAAAAACTACCTCCCTTCTATATCTCATCTCTTAGCATTTTTAAAGAGAGAACCTCAAACTCTCACCTCCAGACTAACGTTACTCTTAAGTAACAAGTCTTCTCCACTCAGATATGGCTTGTCACAATCTCTCCTAGACTTTACATATTCTGTGAGCAAATCAGCAGAACATATTCATCTGTATTTTGCTACAGTTTCAATACCTGTAGACAAGTCAGCAAATTACCAAAGCAGTAGTCCTCATGCATATAATCCCTCTCTACTGGATCATCCATGTCAGCATAAAAAAATGCTGCTATTTCTCCCTTCTAACAAAGGCTTCTCTCAATTGCACTGCATTAACCCCACAACTATTATTTTGTTTATTTATTGTCTTTATGGTAATACACTTCCAAAGAGTTTTCTATATTAAAAATTTCCTCCAAACTCTTTCCTCTAATTCTCTCGTAAACATTTCAGTTAGGCTCTCACTCTATAGCTCCACAGAAATTACTATTACCCAAATAGCAATAATCTTGATGCAGCTAATCCAATTATCAATCCTCAACCCTAATTTTGAGGCATCACAGTTCATTAAAAAATTTGACATGGTAGGTCACTCCTTTCTCCTTGAGATATTTTCTTCTTTTGACTTTCTGGGTGCAGCCATCTCCTGGTATCTTTCTCACATCATTAGCTGCCCCATATCAATCTAGTTTTTGGTTTCTCCTCATCTTCCAAATATCTTAATCTAAGAGCTCCCAGAGCTCAATCATTGGATTTCTTTTTCTCTATAGTTTCACCGCCCAATCAAAATATAAGCTACAAATATGAGCCAAATATGTAATGTTAAATTTTCTTCTAGCTACATTAAAAAGAAAAAATAAACAGAAAAAAATTAATTTTAATTATATATAATCCAATGTGTTGAGATCTCATTTCAACAATTAGATAAGTTAGTAAAATGTTTTCCATTCTTTTTTGCATACTACGTCTTCAAAATCTGGTGTATATTTCACACTTAACAGTACGTCTCAATTGGGAGTAGTTGTATTTCAAGTGGTCAGTGTCTATATGTGGTTGTGGTTACCATATTAGACAGAGAATATCTATATCCTCACTCCCTTAATGTTTGCTTTCTTGTTTCATGGTGTTAAATACCTTCTGTATTAGTCAGGGTTCTCTAGAGGAACAAAACCAATAGGATAGATGTATATATGAAGGGGAGTTTATTAAAATGTATTGACTCACACGATCACAAGGTGAAGTCTCATAGTAGGCCATCTGCAAGTTGAGAAGCAAAGAAGCCAGTCTGAGTCTCAAAACCTGAAAAGTAGGGAAGCCAACAGTGCAGCCTTCAGTCTGTGGCTGAAGGCCTAAGAGCCTCTGGCAAATCACTGATGTAACTCCAAGAGTCCAAAAGCTGAAGAACCTGCAGTCTGATGTTTGAGGGCAGGAAGCATCCAGCACAGGAGAAATATGAAGGCTGAAAGACTCAGCCAGGCTCCTCATTCCACTTTCTCCAGCCTACCCTACTTTATTCTAGCCACACTGGCAGCTGATTAGATGGTGCCCACCCTGATTGAGGGTGGGTCCGCCTCTCTCAGTCTGCTGACTCAAATGCTAATCTCCTTCGGCAACACCCTCACAGATACACCCAGTTACAATACTTTGCATCCTTCAATCTAATCAAATTGACAATATTAACCATCACACCTTCTTTATGATGATGACTCCCAAATTTGTACTACAAAGCCAGATCTCTTCTCTGAAGTTTATACTTTTATATACAACTAACTATTAATACTTGATCTTTACATTTAAATATGTAATACTCATCTCAGACTTAACATATCCAAAAACAAACTCTTGATCTCCCCCTTCTATTCCCCCCAACACACATACATTCCGTTCTCCCTCATTTGATTTTATAGCAAATGTCAGGATTCCAATTATTCAGTCCAAAAATTTTGAGTCATTCAGGATTTGGTTTTGCTCTCACAGTCTACAATCTTGTTGGTTTTACTTTCAATATATTTCCAGAATATGATCGTTTCCCACCAACTCAAGTTCAAACACTATAATCTCTTGCCTGTATCAGTGTTCTAGTGTCCCAACTAATCTTTTGTATCCTTTACATATTTCCCAACACAGTAACTAGGGTGGCCCAGTTTAAATATATCAGGTGATGTCACTCTGCTTTTCAAAACCCTTCAACAACATACCATCTCATTCACAAAAAGGTAAACGTCTTAGACCTAGATATTCATCTTCTTTTCATCTCCTGTTGCTCTTTCTGCACGGCCACACCAGCACTCTTGAACAAGGATTATACTTGCTCTTTGCTTTGCCTGAAACCTGTTTTCTTCATATATTCATGTTGCTGACTCTCTTTTTTAAGTCTTTACCCTTGTGTCTTCTTTGACCATTTTAAAACAAACTGTTACCCCTTCCACTAGCAGTCTTCATTCTCTTTCTTTGCTTTATTTTCCCCCATAGACATTATCGCTACCTAAAAACTATATATTTTACTTAATTATTTTGTTTATTGTCTGTCTTCCCCACCAGAATGTAAGCTCTGATGAGGATAAGTATTTGTGTCTGTCTGGTGAACCACTGGACACTTATCACTGAAAGAATGCCTAAACATAGAAGGTGGTCAGTAAATGTCTGTTAAATAAACATATAAATAAACTAACATATTATAGTGTTATGATGACTTCAAAAAATAAGCAGTTTAAGAAATAAATACATCTAGACAAAGACACAGCACATATTTTCTTATCAATCATTCTTGTAAATTGTGGCATTATTTTGTTTTCCATTACTTAAAGCATCGCATCATGAAGTGTAAGACCTATCTAATCAATGTGAAACTGGCTCACTTCTCACAGAGAAGAATAAGGTAAAGGAAGAAGAAAATAGGCCTCTCTCACCCCATTAGTATTTTCAAAATAAGTAAATAATTTTAATAATGACTACTACTGGTTACTGCCTCTTATTGCCAAACCTATCATTATTATATAATATTTGTACATACTTCATATACTTAATTGTTAACAGATAATACTTATATTCCAAAGAAAAAAAATTACTCAACCACTCCTACCCATTTTGTATAGTCTGAAAAAATAGTTCTGAAATAGACCTTGGAAAAGTAGAGCAAATAATAATCACTTCATCAAAAGTTATCAATATGTCTCCATCAAGTACTTTCGCAAATAAAAGTTAGAGACACACAGCTCCACCTGCTGCATTTATTGATGCCTAGACTGTAAAGTAATTTGTACTTTGGAGGTACTAATTTGGATGTGGTCCAAATATCATTTATCTTTTGTTGTTTCCTATTACTTAATTTTCATATGAGCTTTACACATTTATTTTTGTACTAGATCCTGAACAAATTTTTTTTTTGGTACTCAGGCTCTAGTCAGAAACTGTGGACATGTTTAAAGCACAGGTACTTCTCGAGGGAAAATAACAAATGTCATTTTGGGGAAAGCATGCACTGATGTTATCTAATATTCTGTGGGTTTTCAGTGCTCTCTTCCAAATGCAACTTACTTAAAAAAATCTTCTGGTTATTTCATATTATGCAAGATTTAGAGATAATGTGAATAGAAGATAACAGCACAGACTCCAAAGGTAGCATGCCTGGATTCCAATTCTCACTCTGGCCCTTACTGGATGTGTGGTCTTTGAAAAGTTACTTAGCCTTTCAATGTCTCGTTTTTCTTGTGTACAAAATGTGATACTAATTATCTCTCCTGTATAACATTGTTATCAGACAAATTAATACATGTAAAGCATTTGGAAAAGTATCTAGAATGTATATAATACTTGATCAACAGATGAATTATTACTATTATTATATTATAATTCCATATTATATTATATCTATTACTAATAAAATACAAAGCTTTTTCATGGTAGTATAGCAATAACAAAGAAGTATTATTTACCTCCAATCTGGTAAAGAATGTAGAAAACTCTCTGGGAAACTTGTCAGTGAGTTGACATAATATAGGCTATAAAAAGAAAAAAAAGTTGAAAAAGATGTTATCAAACTTATTTCATTAAGGAATTTCTCTGGTGTAACCCTGGAAGTATTATGCTTTGGGGCATGCACATTAAATGCAAATTCCCTATTATGACATTTAAAATTTCATTTATCTATTTATTCAAAAATGCAATATTTTTTCACCAATTGTTGATTGATGGCTTACAATGCCAGATTCTAGAGAGACAATGAACAGAATATGACTCCTACATTCAAAGTGTTTATGATCTGAGAAACATAGACAAATAAATAATCACAAAAAATTAGGAACTATTACAACCAAAGAAAATACAGGCTACTAGATGAGTACAAATGGATAAGGGCACATATCCAGTATTTGTAGTAAAGAGCTTTAACAGAAGGCTTCCTGGAGGCATGAAGTCTAGGCCAGCTCTTGAAGGCTAAATAAGGATTAGTCCAGAAAATGAAGATAAGATGTGGGAGCATGATCTCATTAGATAAGATAGCATTAGAGAATTTTAAGATCAAGAAGTAACATAGAACATTAACAAAACTGAAAATAGTTCAATTTGATTATTGCTTCAAGTGACATCTAAATAGAACCAGGCAAGACATGAGTTTTGGAAGATTCAAAAAATCAGATAATTACAAGGTATTTTCTGCCAGTAAGATGAAGGATTTGGGCTTTATGCTGAGTACTGGAGGTGTAAACTAATTAGACTCTTTATTTAGAAAATAGGGTAAAGAATCTGGCAGGGAGCAATGGGAAATCTGGGAGACTGGTGAGAAAGCTTCTGCAGATCTAAGTGAGATAAGAAAGTAGCTGACTTTGAGGACTTAAGAGGTCAGTCCAGTGTGTGCCCTGTTACACAAACCAGAATGGCCAGATTCTTTCTGACAACTTCCTCTCCTATCTTCCCACCCCATATTCATTCATATTCATATTCTTATCCCATAATCATGCCACATTCATGCTTAAAATGCTTCAAAAACTCTCCATTTCCTAGAATGAACATAAAATTCACTTAACAAGACCTATAAGGCCTTGCTCAGTCTGACTCATATATATATGCTACCAAGCACATCTCACACCACTGGCTCCTAGGCCCTGTCCTGAGGATACTTCCCCTTGCCACAGGGCCTTTGCTAATACTTATCCTCTTCTCTCATTTTCGCCTGATAAATCCTCACTCTTATTTCGTGTCTCATCCCATCTTTACTTTTTTTTTTTTTTTTTTTTTTTGAGACAGAGTCTTGCTCTCCTGCCCAGGCTAGAGTGCAGTATTGTGATCTTGGCTCACTGCAACTTTTCCCTCCCGAGTTCAAGCGATTCTCATGCCTCAGCCTCCCGAGTAGCTTGGACTAGAGGTGTGTGCCACCATACCTGGTTAATTTTTTGTATTTTTAGTAGAGACGGAGTTTCACCATGTTGGCCAGGCTGGTCTGAAACTCCTGAACTCAGGTGATCCACCCGCCTCAGCTTCCCAAAGTGCTGGGATTACAGTTGTGAACCCATCTTTACTTTCTCAGGATACCTTTCCCTGGTATCCCAAAGTTAAATTATGTTATTTTAGTGCTTTGTCTCTCTCATTCATATATTCATCACAATGATAACATTTTATGTATTGGCATGGTTATAGAATTAATGTTTATCATTTGTTTCCAACATTAGAATGTGAGCTCCATTAGGAATGGATTCATGCTTATTCTTGCTCCTCATAGTTGACCCAGTGTCTAACACAATGTCCAATATACTGCAGTGTTCAGTAAGTATTTTTTAAATGACTGAATGACAAAGTTGGTCTTTGAAGGAGGAGAGGGGGGCAAATACAATGCTAAGCTTTCTGATTTGGACAGGAGAATAGCTATTAGTATGACTATTTCTGGCAGGAAATACATAGGTTTATTGATAGAAACCAGGAGATAATCTTGCAACATGTTGTAGTTAATATACTTTTAAGACATCCAGGTAGAAGTACACGTAGGTAGTTCGATACATAGCCCTGATGCTTAGAAGGTAGATATAGCTGGAGGTACCAAATTGAAATTCTTTAACATATAAATTATAATTGAAACTATGGAAATGGATGATTTTTTCTTGGCAGTGTGTCTACTAAGTAAGAACAGGTCTAAATAACTTTGGAAAGAATCTTGAGTTTCACCAATATACCAGCATTAAAGAGTGAGTAAAGGTGGGATAGTCCTGCAAAGGAGACTGAGAAAGTGGCCAGGGAGAATCCTGGAAGCCAAAGGAAAGGGCATTTCCAAAATAAGCCTACAGTCAAAGTGTCATCTATTTACAGAAAAAGTCAAAAATATATTATTGAAACTTGTAGTTGAGAAAAATGAGAAAGTGACTAGAAAAGATAAGGTACCAAACATAATTACTGAGGAGTGTTGAAAGTCCAATTTATATTTTTATACCAAATTTATGATGATAACAATAAAATTGATTATGTAAATTATTTTGCATAAGGGATGAGGATCCTGGATATAAATACAAAACAAAAGTAGATGGTTGAATTCATTCAGGGTTTTTGTTTTTTGTTTTTTGCTTTCTGTTTTTTTTTTTAGATGGAGTTTTCACTCTTGCCCAGCTGAAGTGCAGTGGCACGATCTGGCCTCACTAAAACCTCCGCTTCCTGGGTTCAAGTGATTCTCCTGCCTCAGTCTCCCTAGTAGCTGGGATTACAGGCATGCACCACCATGCCCAACTATTTTTTTGTATTTTTAGAGAGATGGGGCTTCACCATGGTCTCAGCCAGGCTGGTCTTGAACTCCTGACCTAGTGATCTGTCCCCCTCAGCCTCCCAAAGTGCTGGGATTACAAGCATGAGCCATCATGCCTGGACTAGAGTTTGGGGTTTTAATGAAAGTGTGACAAAAGACCAGAAGTAAGGCAGTGAGATAGTGATGACTGCTTGCAAGAGATGGACTACAGAATCCAAGATGGATAGGACTGTGGGCAAAGGCAATGTCTTAGTCAATTTAGTGTTGCTATAAAAGAATACCTGAGGCTAGGTAATTTACAAAGGAGCAAAAAGTTTATTTGGCTCATGATTCCGATGGTTGGAAAGCAGATTGGGCATCTGCATCTGGTAAGGGCCTCAGGCTGCTTTCACTCATGGAAGAGGGTGAACGGAAGTTGTCCTGTATAGAGATCACATGATGAGAAGAGAAACAAGAGGGAGAGAGGAAGGAGGTGGTAGGCTTTTTATAACAACCAGCTCTCCTGGAAACTACTAGAGTGAGCAGAGCACTCACACCTCCTTGCCCAGAAGTGCATTTAATCTGTTCATGAGGGACCCACCTCCATGACCCAAACACCCCCACTAAAGTCCCACCTCCAACATTGGGGATCAAATTTCAACATGAGATTTGGTGAGGACAAACAAACCATATTCAAACTATAGTAGGCTAGAAGATGAAGATGCATCAGGAGAATTAGAGGGGTCAACGGAGTGGAAGCTCCAAAGAGTTTGAGATATAGCAGAAACAGTGGAAAGCAAATTAGAAGATAAAAGAGGTTTTGGCCAGAGACTGCAGAGTTTGAGTTTAATATTTCAGAAATGAAGTGGCTTTAGGTTGTGACAAGTACCAAGATAAGTACCAGGGTATGATGGAAAGAGAATGTGACTAAGGACTAGTGTAATCTTGTTGAAAATGAGAAAGTCAAAGAACACAGAGCCAGGGATTTTGGATGAATCATCTGTACTGGGTTGAAAAATTTTTCCCCAAATTCATGTGCACTTGGAACTTGTAAATATGACTTTATTTGAAAGTAAGATCTTTGCAGATATAATCAAGTTAAGATGAGACCATACAGAATTAGGGTGGGGCCTAATTCAAGTATGACAGATGTCCTTTATAAGGAAAAAATTGGAGCATGGACATATAGATAGATAGGGTAGAAGTCCACATCAAGATGGAAGCAGAGATTGGGGTGATACATTCAGACACGAGGGAGTGCCAAAGACTGCTAGCAACCATCAGAAGCTAGAAGCTAGAAGCTGCCATCAGAAGCTAGAAGCAAGGAAGGATTATTGCAAAAAGCTTTCAAACACAATATGGTCCTGCCAACAGCTTGATTTTGGACTTCTACCTTCAAGAATTGTGAGAGAATATATTTCTGTTGTCTTAAGCCACCGACTTTGTGGTAATTTACTATGGCACCTCAAGGAAAGTAATATACCATCCATATTGATATAAAACTCTGTATAATTGCAGGATTGAGATGAGGAAGATTATGTTTAACTCAAAGCTAAGGACTGCAGATTGATGGGTATAAATAGAGACTAATGCATAGACTGGTTTACAAAAGAAACAGATTGGGTAAGTTGGACAGGGTTTTAAAAGCAACTAACTCCATCAAAAGTATGGAAGGAATTTATTATGGCTTGAATTTATCATTCTAAAAAAAATTTCTAGTCCAGCACAACGGGACAGTGATGGCATTAAGTTCCCCTTCAATCTCTCCACTCATTTAAAGAGAAGCAGACTCTGATAATTGGAAGACCTCTTCCACCTTTCTGAGAAAATCAGACTTAAAAAAATTGATTTCAGAAAGGCACAATCTATGTTATTAGTTAGATTTAATGGACAAATAAAATCTGTTATGCCTGGTAAGAACAATTTTGATTTAAAAAATAACTTTTAAAAATTTCTGGTTGTGAAAGTAGCACATGAGAATAGTAAAATGATTCAGACAGTCCTTAAAAGAATTAAGAGAAAAGTAATCATTCATAATTTTACTATGTAGGGGCAACCACCATTAATACTGTAGTATATATAGAATCAAATAACTATTACACACTTATTTTAACAGTATTATAATTTTAATAGATGCCAAACATTTAATTATATGAAGAATCATAATTAATTTAGTGCCTTAAAGATGTTATTTTTCAAAGTATTGTTATTATAAGCATAATTCAGTTAACATCTTGTACATATATTTTTGCACACATACCAATCATAGAAACTTGGGAAGAAAAATCAATGAAATACACTTATCAACTCAGATGATAGGTTAGTCAGAATGTACTAGTTGCTGTAACACTTCACACCAAAATTTAGTGGCTTAATGCAGTAAAGTTTATTTCTTGGTCATGCCACAGCCTATTATGAGGAAAGAAGATTTTTTCCAAGTGGTGTTTTACAGACTCAGGTTCCTCCTATATCAACACTTTGCCGTTGTCTAGGGACTGGAGTCCTTCGGTGGGTTCCCTACAGAGAAAGTGTGGAGGATCACTTTGCAGATTTTTTTAGGAGTTGGGCCTAGAGGTATCACACATCACTTTGATCCACACTCCATAATTAAGTCATATGATCATATTTATGAAAAACATGGTCTAGCTGTGTGCCCAAGTGGAAAAGGAATATGTCTTTTGGTCAACTCATCACAGTCTCTGACATAGTATATTTCTCTGGTCCCGAAATATTCGTTAGTTTCATGTTTTTTTCTACTTACTCCTTTCTCAGAGATATATTCTGAAACGGCAGGCACTGGAGAGCAGACATATAGAAATGCCACAAGGGAGGCCTTATCATGACCCCCTATAAGTGGAAGATATTACTTGACACTCTTTTTAGGCCTTCCCTGGTTTCACAGCCTATTCCTCTTCATGCAAATATGGGAACTAAAACATTATTTTATCTTTTGGTCAGTGGCTTTCAAGTTCAGGCTCATGTTTCCTTTGGTAATATTATTATATTCTCTCATAAATGTGGTCTCTTATATTTGCTTCCAGTGAGTTCCGTGTGGCACTAACTGCAGCCAAAGCTATTTTTCAGGCAAAAAAATTCTCAAGACTCTTTCTTGCTTTCTCAAACCCATGGGGCAATCTCAAGGTAACAGAAATTACTTTGGCCAACTTTAACAATAGGTGGAAAGTCCATATGTTTAATCTAATCTTTACCACAGAAATGACTCATTGTTTTCAATTTAGAAGCTTTGCAATATCTTTGGTGCTTAAAGCTTTTTTCAATCTTGTCTTTGAC
This sequence comes from Homo sapiens, assembly GCF_000001405.40. Classification (NCBI taxonomy): domain Eukaryota; kingdom Metazoa; phylum Chordata; class Mammalia; order Primates; family Hominidae; genus Homo; species Homo sapiens. Next base: position 97,179,708 of record NC_000004.12, read on the forward strand.
TGTTTAAATCTAGGGAGCGTAAGGTTTTATAAACTTTTATTGCTCTAAATCTCTGTACTCTCTAAATTCCTTTTCACATCCAGTTACACACCAGCCAAGACTTTCTTGAGCTCATTATTTTCTTCTAACTTGCCAAAGGCAGCCAATAATGCATACTAACACACAAACACTTTGATTCTTTCCAACCACTTTCTCTAGAACTATAAGATCAGTAAAACATGTAGTCTGCTTTCCAAATATCCCACTACCATATTACTAGATTGCCATCTTCCTACCCTCTGATAACAGTTTCCTTGCTGCCAGCCATCTGTCTACTTAACTCAGTGCCTCATATATTAGGTTTTGCTATGGCAGCATTACACTTTAAGGTACCAATTTGTGTAAAAATCAGTGTTTATTAAAAACAACACCCAAATTTTAGTGAATTATTAACACAAATGTTTTATTTTCTCAGCATGCAATTATGCAACGCATGGGTTCTTTGTTAGCCAGCTGTCCTGAATGGGTCTTTTCCATACAGTGAATCAGGCACTCAGACACCTTCCAACTCATAGTTCCTCCATCCTTTCGGGTCTTCAAGTCCTATGCTGAATTATCATAATTCAATTGTTAGATATGAAATAAGATATAATAAATTATGTATGAAATTTTTTAGTGGTCGGGATTTAAGGTGTTATATAACACTTCCAACAGTTTCCATTGGACAAATCTTAGTCACATGACCACCTAGTAGAAGGTCTACCATCTAATAAGAAAACTTATTCAGCTATATGCCCAAGAAAAAACAGGAAAGTGGGCTTAATGAGCGCTTGTCTCAATAAGCTTATTGAGACAACCTCTAAACAAGTTTTACATTTTGATACTTGTTACCACATTGTCCATCAGAAATACACCAGATTATCTGTCTATCAGCATTGTATGAGAATCCTCACCTTCTTTACAATCTCACCAACCTTGGAATTATATTATTAAGGTCTTTAATAACTCTCACTCTAGAATATAAAACATACAATTTCACAATCTTTTTTTTAGATGTAGTTTCGCTCTGTTGCCCAGGCTGGAGTGCAATGGCACAATCTTGGCTCACTGCAAACTCTGCCTCGTGGGTTCAAGTGATTCTCCTCCCTCAGCCTCCTGAGTAGCTGGGATTACAGGTGCCCACCACCAAGCCCAGCTAATTTTTGTATTTTTAGTAGAGACGGGGTTTCACCATGTTGGTCCTGACCTCATGATCTGCCCACCTCGGCCTCCCAAAGTGCAATTTTATAATTTTTTATGCTTGCATTTAATTAATATGAATTTAAAATCTTCATTATTTTTTGGTCACCTTTATTTGCTATTTTATCTGTTCCTGTTATTTGCACCTTTGGTATTGGTGCAAATGGTATTGGGCCATTCAGCTTCTTCTTAATCAGTGTAACTCACAAAGTAACTCAGTTAATTGTGTGTGTGCGTGTATGTGTGTATTATATATACATACACACAGTTATATATAATATATATTAGATATAAACATATATTATATATAATATATATTAGATATAAACATATATATAATATATACACACAATTATATGATTTGTATTTAATAGAATTATATATTATAAATAATTTATATATAAGGTAAATATATATAACACATTTATAAGGATTATATATGGATATATATAATTCTTTAATTTTTTTTCTTTTTTTCTGCATATAGGGTAAAAATTTTTCTTAAGTATGTTCACCATTTCTTTGAATTCTCCTTCTGCATATTAATTGAACTCCTTGCTATTTAAAAAATTATTTGAAGGTATCATTATTTTTACTTTAAAGTTTATAATCTCTTATTTGTTGAAAAATTAATCCTTTAATTTCCATGTAAGTAAAAACAATTATCTTTTTGTATAAATCTTTTTTGAGATTATGATAGTCATTGGCATTATCTTGTCTTATGAATTATAACTTTTTTGTTATAGTTGTATATGTTTACTCACATTAGAATTGGACATCACTCTTTTAACCTGCCTTTGATCTCCCAAAGTGTATGTTGATTCTATTTTAATCTTTGTCCCTGTTTTACCCAGTGTTCATTTTAAAACCTCTTCTAAAATTTAGATATTCTGCAGATGTATTTAATCTATTTTGTCTTTCAGCTGCCTGAGAAAGATCAGACAAACTATAATAACATATGAGATCATTTAATTTTCTACATTTTGGAAAGTATCATTAAATTCAGTTAGGGTAACTTATTGCATTGAGAGGTGAAGCCAGCTGGACTTCCTGGGTTGAGTGGAGACTTAGAGAACTTTTTGTCTAGCGAGAGGATTGTAAACACACCAATCAGCGCTCTGTGTCTAGCTAAAGGATTATAAATGCACCAATCAGCACTCTGTGTCTAGCTAAAGGATTGTAAATGCACCAATCAGCACTCTAAAAATGCACCAATCAGTGCTCTGTGTCTAGCTAAAGGATTGTAAATGCCCCAATCAGCATTCTGTAAAAACACACCAATCAGCGCTCTGTGTCTAGCTAAAGGATTGTAAACACACCAATCAACACTCTGTAAAATGGACCAATCAGCTGGACATGGGCGGGATCAAATAAGAGAATAAAAGCTGGCCACCTGAGCCAGTAGTGGCAACCCACTCAGATCCCCTTCCATGCTGTGGAAGCTTTGTTCTTTCGTTCTTACCAATAAATCTTGCTGCTGCTCACTCTTTGGGTCCACACTACCTTTATGAGCTGTAATACTCACCATGAGGGTCTGCGGCTTCATTGCTGAAGTCAGCGAGACCACAAACCCACCGAGAGGAACAAACAACTCCAGACACACCACCTTTAAGAGCTGTAACACTCACTGTGGAGGTCTGCGGCTTCACTCCTGAAGCCAGCGAGACCATGAACCCACCAGAAGGAAGAAACTCCGGACACATCTGAACATCTGAAGGAACAAACTCCGGACACACAATCTTTAAGAGCTGTAACACTCACTGTGAGGGTCCGCAGCTTCATTGTTGAGGTCAGCGAGACGAAGAACCCACCAGAAGGAATAAACTCCAGACACACCATTAGGCAGTGACTATGTTTGTTCTATCATTTCATGAATAAAGCTATTTTGGTAAGAGAAAACAAGGCTATTTCAAAGGTGACCTGCATCCTTTCTTTATATGTTGTTGTTAATCCACAGTCACAAAGAATGGCTCTTAGAAGACACTTTCTTGAAAATGGACAATTCTAAAGTCTGTACTTCTCAAATTGAGCTAAAACAAAACACCATGGCACTTACAGATTTACATAATACTGAGCTCAGCTTGAAGCTTAAAGTAAAACTGTTATCCAAGTAGGTAATTGAAACTTGTTAGATATTTGTGTCAATATAATCAAACTTTCAACCTCGACATATTTGAATATCATCAAATATTGATGTATTTGAATATTTATATATAACATTAATAGGAAAATACATATGAAAATCCTTTTCCTCTTATTAAAATTGATAAAGCAAAATTGTTTGAGTCACAACTAGGAAAATGAACAGTGTTTACTCTTAACTCATACAAAGTTAATAGTTAAGATGTTGGATATCATTACTTAAGGAAATTATCTGTATCAGTTATCTTAAAACAAGGGCTTAAAACTTAGTGGCTTAAAATAACAACAATCATTTAATTTGATCCAAAATGCAATTGGGGCAGGTTTCAGAAAGGTTTTTCATCATTGCTCTCTGGAAAACCCACACGGTGGCTTAACTACAAGCTGGAGAATCCACTTCCAAGATGGTCTATACAAATGGTTGGCAAGTTAGTAGTAGCTGTCAGCAGGGAGCCAACCTGGTCTAGGGGCCAAGAGGTTAGGTCACTTCTCTATTTAGGCCTCTCCATTATCTAGTTGCTCATGGTGGCTGGGTTCCAAGAGCAAGCATGCAAAAAAATCAGTCAGAAGTTGTATTACTGTTTATGACACAGACTTAGAAGTCACATGGCAGCATTTCTAATATAGATTTAATTACATCCAGGTTTGAGGAGAGGGAATATAGAACTTATCTCTGGATGTAAGGAATATTAAAATAATATTTTAAGAGGAGAATGTGAAATGGGAGATATCGTAGGTACTTTTGGAAAATATTGTCACTTAAGTTATTAAAGCAATGTCGTTAATACCTAGGTCTCAGATCTATAAGACAATAGAAACTGTACCTTGAAAATGCATCCATTGATGTTTATTTTTCCAATATTTTCTCCTTTTCTTAAAACAAATTTCTTGAACAAAACAATCTTTACGAAATGCAATAAAAACTGTATATGTGAAAGAGGAAGTCAACGAAATTTCCTTAGAGTCACTCATTTGAGTAGGTCATTATGAGAAAACAAAATCTAGGTGCAAACAGAATCAACAAATTTTTCTGCTACATTTGAAATCTTTTTAAACTTTTTATTTTACATATTTTATATCTCTGTACTGTGATTTCTGTATGCTTTCTTGTTGTAATATTTGAAATAATTCAATATCAGTTAAGCCATAATTTTTTTCTATTATTGAGCAGATATAACCAAAATAATAATTTTAAAAGATAAAATATAAATCAAATTTATATTAAATAAAGATCATTTTCTCATGATCAGGAGGAGAAAAGCAAGTATTTATTGCCTTAAAACAAACACAAAAGAGGCCAGGAGATGAGATAATCATATCTTCAGAGGCAGAAGTTAAGCTTTTCAATTATTGTTTGTATATTTCTATAATTCAATGTAAGTATCTTATAATATATATGAAATACGAGGTTATAAGTAAAACTTCCAGATTATAATTAATCCCCCAAATAAGATCTCATTCTTCACATGAATTTTCTTAGGATTCCTTTCTGTGGGAATTCTATTTTTCAGAATTCCTAAAATGTATTAAAAACAGAACTCAGTAAAACTGGTATAATTTAAAAATTTTTAATAATCTATAGAAATTAAATTAGAATATTGAACTGGTACCATGTCTGAAGCATGTTTAGTAAAATATACATGAAACCAGTTTGACTAAATTAAAATGTATGCTAGGTAAAGTACTAAAAAAAAAACCCCAACAATCTGGGAAAATTTATAGTCTATATGATAAATAACTTAATTGATATATTTACCTTTTTCAGTGATTTTCTTATGACATACATGGGTAGGAAAACTCGGGTTATCAATTTGACACATGAGATTTTTATCTTAACACAGGAACATAAAGAATATAGAGTTTTGCAACACTGTGGTGACATTTCACATGTTCAAAAAATCTCAATTATTCAGAAAACAGCCAAAAACTTAGATGTAGGCAGCCAAAACAGTCAAATGTAAACACATTGAAGAGCTTCTCAGACATCCAATCACAGCCAATTTACCATTATTTCATATAACACCTTATCAAGCTAGATTAGCACTCTCCAACAACACAACAACAACAAAGGCATGCCTTCAACAGCATGGGAGAATGTAGAAAGGAGAAAAGTTCCATTGACTGTATGTATGTGTTTCAGGAATTCTGTTACATATTTTTAAAATTTTGTTTACTTGATTCACACAACAGGCACTTCCTGTTATCCTCATTTTTCAGGTGAAGATAGAGAGCTTCATTTAGTTTGAGTAGCTAGCCCACAATGGGAGATCCAGGGTATAGCTGAGGTTTGTCTAACTCCAAGGTTCATTCAGTTTTCTCTGTAAGTATACTATCCTGTTTCCCCTGGGAAGACAAGAAGTGACTGCTGTGGCAGGTGTACTGACCACAGGATGATTTCTGACAGTTTGACATCAAGAGAGAACCAAACACTGCAGAATGAAACATTGAGAACAAAATGACAGTCTGGGGCAATTTATGTTTAAGGAAAATTTTCCAACTCAGCTCAAATGACTCACTCTATTACAACCCAGATGAATAACTAATACTGAAAATAATTTTCTCCACAAAGTATGTAATAGAATTCAGAAAGATTTTCATATCTATAATCCATCCATCCATCCATCCATCTATCGATTCATCCATCCATCCAACCATATTTTCTCTGCTTAGAATATAAACTTTTATTACAGGGAAAATAATTTGGTTAGGAGTCAGGTGACCTGGGCCCCAGGTCATTCAGTCAAATCCATACTGAAAACCTTTCAATTTATCACCCTATTACTCAGCCCCATCTTCATCCCTCACTCCACCACTTACTTTGTTTCTCATTTTCTGCCATAGTTGTTCTTTTAAAAATGCTGAGGACATTGATTTTTAGTTTTAGGAGTTAATTCAAAATGGCCATTTAATGTCTTAAAATCTCTTATATATTTTTCTTTATTTATTATACTTAAAGTTCTGGGATACATGTGCAGAACCTGCAGGTTTGTTACATAGTTATACACCTGCCATGGTGGCTTGCTGCACCCATTAACTCGTCATCCACATTAGGTATTTCTCCTAATGCTACCCCTTCCCTAGTCCCCCACCCCCCTTTTTTAAATTCTATTTTTCTACAAGGGTGTCATTAATTAAAAGTCCATACCAAAAAAAAAAAAAAAAAAAAGCAACTTAGAGATTCCACTTTTGGAAAGTTCTACAGACATAGTCAGAAAAATATTTCCCCCATTGTTCATGTGACTCTACAGACTTGTTTGTATTTTCAGAAATAAAAGCATTATTAACAAACTAATATTAGTTACATTTCTATTATCATTGTGTATATTATTTACATAAATTAGGCCATTCTTAGGACTTTTTCCAGTTATCAAACTTCATAAGTCTTTCTAAAATGACCCATTTTAGTCAACATATTCATACAGAGACATTTCAAAAGGCATGGAATTTTACTGGAATACACAAATTATTATCATTACATGTCACAAGTAGGAACCCAAAACATGAATTTTCCATTCAAACCGTTCCCCGTTTAAAGATGAATTCAGATTAGGCATATGTAGCACATGATTAGGCATGCATTACTTGTTTTTTTTTCATTAATGTTTACTAAATGTTAATGTCCTCAAGGAAAAGGATATTTATCTAATTTGTGTTAGGCAAAGTTCATTCGAATCTGTTCTTCTCCATCATGTAAATCCCAGGAGTGTGCAAAACACTTTGCACTTGAAGTTAATGGAAATCAATTTGCCCAACTTCTCTTATTCTGATTAATTTTGATTGGATTTTGGATGAGGTTGGATTTTTAACTTTTTGTTGAGACTAATGACATAATGGGAGGAAAATGACATTGTGGATGTGTGTTCTGTGACAGGTACTAGGCTTTGATTTTTTTGTTTCTGTCCCAGATATTAGCTCATTAATTCTTCACAATAATTTTGGCAGATAGAGTGTGTTAGGTCAAGTTAGAATATGAGGAAATTGAATCTTAGGAAACTTAGAAAACTTAAGATATTTTCCCAAGCTACATAGTTAGAAAAAAGCAGTGCCAAGAATTTGAATTCATGACCAGCTATAAATTAGATGTCAGACAATACAAATCAATTCCATAAAACATATGATCTAAAATTTCCTAGCTAGATTCAATGCAAAACTATATTTCATTAAATTGTCATTTGTAACAAATAATATGTTTTATTTTATAACTTTTATACTTATCAAAATGCCACGGTTTTTTCTCATTTTGATTTGCCCTGAATAATTGCAGCATAATTTTTATAAAGTTTTGATTATTAAAGCTTCAAAATCCTTTAAATATATTTGTAACCCTTAATTATTGAAATTCTATAGAAGTTTAACTATTTTACTCTTATGAAATTCCTTGAAAGCAGTATGATTGTTCGTTTTTCAAGGCGTTCAACTAAGACGGAGGAAAAAGTGGTTGCTTTCTTGGATGAGTTTGTCAAATTCTCTTTTGTACCATAATGAAAGCGTTATCCTTTTTTTTCCCTCTCAATTTGTCACTCGTTAATCATTCACTATTTTGTTGTTTCATATTGTCACATCATTCACTGCACTGCTTTTCTCATTAGGCTCATCCAAATGATAAATTACTCCCTGAAAGGTTGAGATTTCAGTCTTCCTTTTTTGGCAATGCTTCCATTGATCTTTTATGCTATTCTGGTCATTCCTGAAGAAATGGTCTTATCACCTCCATGCTCCATGTAGTATGTCCTCAGTCCACGTGGGCTTTCCTCTGTATTATTCATCTAAAGCAAAAGCAAACAAAACCACTTGCTGTTTAAAACATTACTTTTAATTAAAATGAACCATCGCATAATAAGAACAGCATATGCATTGAGGAGAACTGTTTCTCATCTTAGACTGCACTGGCAGAAGATCAAGGAACTGCTCAGCCGTCTCTTTTGCTTGGCCTGTGCAGTCATTGACAGTCCAGCATCCAGGCCTGAAGTGAAACATTAGAAGGAATTTGCTGCAGAAACATGAGATGATAGAGAGATCTACATCTCTCCTGATCTTCCAGGGTTCTTGCCAGCATCATTTACAGGTATTTTTGTTCATATTTGGTCCAGAGTTTCTTCAGAACTGAAAGTCTACCTCTCAATATTGTCTCTGACTACCTACTCATGGCAATTCAATCATTTGAAAATATTACTAATCACTGGCTGGGCGCGGTGGCTCACGCCTGTAATTCCAGCACTTGAGGAGGCATAGGTGGGAGGATCACGAGGTCAGGAGATAGAGACTATCCTGGCTAACACAATGAAACCTCATCTCTACTAAAAATACAAAAAATTCGCTGGGTGTGGTGGTGGGCGCCTGTAGTCCCAGCGGCTCGAGAGGCTGAGGAAGGAGAATGGCGTGAACCCGGAAGGCGGAGTTTGCAGCGCCACTGCACTCCAGCCTGGGCGACAGAGTGAGGCTCTGTCTCAAAAAAAAAAAAAAAAAAAAGAAAAGAAAGAAAGAAAATAATATTACTTATCACTTAGCTACAATCAATGTGGGACTGGTGGAGTCAGTTAGTGGGTAGATTTCTTGTAATAGGGCAGCAAGTAATCTGCAATTAGCACTCAAAGGCATCAAAGATAGAGGGAAGGTTGCCAAAGGACAAAGCCTTCAAGGGAGGTATGTTTATTTCTTTAAAATCGGCCGCTTCAGGTGCCTTTCTCTCACTCCTTCCACCTACCAGCGTTCTGTCCATTCTTCAAGGAAAAGCTCAAGTTACACTTCTGAAGGAAACCTTGAATCCTTCTCTACTGGCATGATGATTGTCCCCTTTGCTTGTATTGTCTTGTCACATATTTCTCATTTCTATCAGAAGCATCCCTCACCAGCATTGTTTTAGTTGTTTATGTGTCTGATTACTCACTGAATCATAGAAGAACTATATAAAAATTGATTTTTCTGTTTAATCTCCCTTTATACCTACTGCTGTGCCTGCATGGAAGACAAACTCAATAAATGTTTGCTGAACTGACCTAAAATATCAAAGCTGTTGTTTGAATGTGGCCAAACTGAAAGCTCACAGTGTAATTTGATCCTGATCCGTAACATCAAAGGTGCTTCCATCTAAACCCTGAACTCTGCCTTCTGATGAAGATTTCTGCAATTACTATAGAAGAGGGTGTGCGTGAGTGCGCACGTATGTGCATGCATGTGTGTGCACTTCTATTTAAAAATTATTCTAATGTAATTTTAATGATTACATAGATTGCCTATGAAATAACAAGTGAGGATTTTTTTACTAAATTTTATAGGATACATAACCAAAGTGAGTGTTCTACTTCAAAGAGTTCCCTTGGGGGAACACAATTTATTCCATTTCACTGTCTTTGCTCAGGGCAGTTTTGGAATGAAATTCCTCTGAAGAATTTGCCTTTTAAAAAGAAAAAGAATTTGCCCTTAGAATTTGCTGTAGAGGGCCGGGCGCGGTGGCTCACGCCTGTAATCCCAGCACTTTGGGAGGCCGAGGCGGGCGGATCATGAGGTCAGGAGATCGAGACCATCCCGGCTAAAACGGTGAAACCCCGTCTCTACTAAAAATACAAAAAATTAGCCGGGCGTAGTGGCGGGCGCCTGTAGTCCCAGCTACTTGGGAGGCTGAGGCAGGAGAATGGCGTGAACCCGGGAGGCGGAGCTTGCAGTGAGCTGAGATCCCGCCACTGCACTCCAGCCTGGGCGACAGAGCGAGACTCCGTCTCAAAAAAAAAAAAAAAAAAAAAAAAAAAAAAGAGTTTGCTGTAGAGGAAAATTGTCAACCTCATTACTTTGTAGTCATAAGACATGCTCTCTTATCCTGAACCTTTATTTTCTCTTCTTTTCCCTTCCTCTATCCTAATTTTTTGATGTTAAGTTCTACAATTTCCTCTTTACACTCAATTGTTTTTTGCAAAACTTATTAGAAATCTAAGTGGAGATACCTCGTAGACAGGTAGATAATGAGAGATGCCATGGGTTTTAAATGTAAAACTGGGAGTCAGAAGCATGCCAGGTATTTCTGAGTCATGAGACTGCCTTAGATCATCAAGAAGTCAATGTATAGACAGAAAAAGACATGAGACTGTGGTCAAAAACTTGGGAACTTTAAGATTTAGAAGACATCTGCGAGAAGAGAAACAAGCCAAGAAGACTGAGACTGAGCAGCAGGTGAGACAGGAGGAACTATGACTGTAGTCTGAAAGCCAAGCAGGGTGTCAACTTTACTGAATATTTCCAAGAGATCAAATAAGATCAGAACAAAGTTTTGAATATAGGACTTGGCAAAATGAAGGTCACTGATCTTCTTAAAAAGAGTGTTTTCTATGAAGTAATGAGAGGAATGCGAGTTACAAGTCACTAGCAGAGAGAACAGAAGGTGATGTATTGGTGGCACTGCATATCTCTTTTGGGAACTATCACTTTTATCAACTTTTACTGTGAAGGAGAGCTGAAAAATGGAAAGTAATGTGAGTGGAACATGGAATCAAGGAACCCTGTTTTTTGTTTTTAATGAAAAAGATTTCAAACTTAAAATAATCAAACTGAAAGGGAAAAATATAATAATGTAGGAAAAAAGGTAAACATAATTGCTGGAATAAAGTTCTTGAAAAGACAAATACTAATATTTTGGAGGGTTCAGGCCAGGTGGGTTGGCTCACACCTGTAATCCTAACATTTTGGGAGGCCAAGGCAAGAGGATCACTTGAGGCTAGGAGTTCAAAATCAGCCTGGGAAACATAGTAAAACCCCTTCTCTACAAAAAATTAAAAATTAGCCAGGCATGGTTGCATGTGCCTGCAATCCTAGCTACTTGGGAAGCTGAGGCAGGAACGTCTCTTGAGCCCAGGAGTTTGAGGCTGAAGTGAGCTATGATTGTGCCATTGCACTCTAGCCTGGGTGACAGAGCAAGATCTTCTCTGTAAAAATAATAATAAGGATAATAATAATGATGATAATAATGACAGTGAAGAGTTCAGGAAGCAATGGAAGATTTGACCTTGGGAATAGGGTTGAATTTCTCACTATATCACAGATTTTCTCGTTATATTACCAATGTTTGAAGTTTTCCTAATATCAAAAAGAATTTATTAATGTAAACATATATAATATAATGAAATAGTAATTATAGTAATAAATATTGTTATATTAATACATAATATATCATTACATATTATTACATCTGCATATTATATATAATGAAATGTTAAATATAAAAATAAATTTGTAAATTACAGTCTATTTTAAGCTGTTCTCATATAGAATAGCTAATTAAAAGTTTTATGAAAGCACTTTGAGTTTTAAAGCCTGTGAATTTAAAATTACTTATTTTAAACTAATTTTAATGGAAAATATGACTCAAAATAAGAATCTCAGAGAAACACAGAGAAACAGAATTTAGAGTCATTACTGTTGTTTCTGTTGTCTTTCCAAGATGAAGGCAATTCAAAGAAATGTTCTGTAGATAGTTTTCTCTTTGTAGCATACATGGAAAGATAACAATTGATGAACGCAGTTTATCGATTGACATTTGATGGTCAGTCAACGAGCTTTCTTTTTGTTTAAGGCAAATTTATTTACTGTGTTTATTATTATCTAGCCACAGGGATAATTTTTTTGCTGTTCAATTGCTTCTAATAATTAACAACGTTCAAAGGTAACTGCTAGAATTTACATTTATCAATACACACTGGGTCATCTCGTTGCCTAGCATAGAGCACGTGACTAAATACAAACGTATATGAATGAATGGAGCATAAAGTAAACATACCCATGGATGTGAACTCTGGCCATGCCCTGGCACCAAAGGCAAATCATGTTTTTGATCTTACTGTATATTTATTACAGGGATGTGTCTTAGGAAGAATGAAACACAATGCAGAACATTTTTCTTTGAGAGACAGTAGCCTTAGAAGATCTCTTTCCACAAGTTATTCTTCTCTTACATAAATCTTTGAGATCAACAAGTAGGCCCTTCCAATGAACAACTATAGCCCCATAAGATGACATGGATAAATTATGATTTTGCACACACATACAGTGTGGGGGTGGAGGAACAACAAGAAAAAGCCACAATTAATTCTATGCACTTACAATAGACAATCCCAAAATTTCATAAAGAGAAAATCAGTTAAAGCAGAGTGAGGAAAAGACAGAGCCGGCTGCCAATGCTTCACAAGCAGTGAATGGTGCTGGAAAATATAAAATGCAGACCAATGCATAGTAAATCAAAGCCAAAAGAGATCCATTTCCAGGATCCCTGAGAACTTGCCCTCACCAGCCCAGTGAAAGGCCAGTACTAGTTCCTAGACAAGGAGTTTGGTAGTTGATTAACCAGATAAACATGAAGTTGAAGTGTGTTGAAGGCTCTTCAAGTTAACTGTGCATATTGTTCACTTTTATATGCATTACTTGAGAATCTAGAGATTGGTGCAATTGTTGCCTAAAGAAGAACATTTCTCTCTCTCATCTACAAAATGTTTGAGGACCTGAAGTTTGGGGCTGATTTGAAGGTTCCATGTTCATCAGTGCCCAAGTTACAAATGTGGAGGACTTAATAGGTAAATATGAGTGCACTCATACAATGTTCCTTTATTCAATCCATTTATATGTTTCATTGTTTATATGAGGTCTTTTATATTAAGATTTAAATATTCTCAAGTTATTAATATACAGACATCTCTTAGAATTAGCTAACTACTACAGAAACTATAATTAAGTAATCTTTCGTTTGCTCTACCAATCTCAGTAGAGAATATAGTTTTCATCATGCAATTTCTACTTGATACGAGGCAACTACTCGAGCTCCAGTCATTGCGTTCACATGCCAGCAAATAGGATCTAATATGACAACAAAAAGTGCACTGTCTTCTTTTAAGCACACTGACTGGAAGTCAATGTGACAAACCGATAAATATTTCAATGGCTAGATGTAGTTCTATGGTCACAACTTCTGAGTTTTAGCAGTTGGAAAACTCTTATTTTTTATTCTAGATTTTTATGTATTCAAGTGAAGCTCTAAAGAAAGGAGGGTGTGGATATTGAGAGGCTGCCAGCAATTTCTGCTACAAAACCACTTAAATGATTCTATGTATATACACGTATTTGTAGATAAATACAAAGTTATCCGAATATCTATTGCTAATGAATAAAGATAACATGGGGCCAGGCACAGTGGCTCACACCTGTAATCCCAGCACTTTGGGAGGCCGAGGCAGGCGGATCACCTGAGGTCAGGAGTTCAAGCCCAGCCTGGGCAACGTGGCGAAACCCCATCTCTACTAAAAAATACAAAAATTAGCCGGGCGTGGTGGTGGGTGCCTGTAATCCCAGCTACTCAGGAGGCTGAGGCAGGGAGAATTGCTTGAACCCAGAGGCAGAGGTTGCAGTGAGCCACGATTGTGCCACTGCACTCCAGCCTGGGTGAGAGAGTGAGACTCCATCTCAAAAAAAAAAAAAAAAAAAAGATATCATGGATATCGGCAGACAACTAACAGTTGATGCTACAATACTGTGTGAAGTATGTGTATATATATATTTATATCTCTGCATATATATCTGTGTATAATCGTTGATCCTTTACTAATGTTTCTGGTATTGTAAATTTTATTTACTCCTAAAACCTATTCATGTTTGAGATGAGAAAACTGAGGCTTTGAAAAATTAAGAACTCCCTGAAAGTCTTGAAACTTGTCTTTCACTGGCTTTAAGATTTGTACTCTTTATTAGGATGGATGGATAGATGGATAGATGAATGGAATTCAAATAGACTGACAAATGATGATACAGGATGGATAGATAGATAGATGATAGATGTTTTATTACTTAATACACTTAAACATTGTTTTCATTTTCTAAGGATACCGTATCAAAGTACGACAAACTGGGTGACTCAAAATAACAGAAATTTATCTCTGAGAGTTCTAGAAGTTAGATGTGAGAAATTAAGAAATGAGCAAGATGGATTTCTTATGGAGGACTCTGAGATTTTCTTGCATGCCTCTCTCCTGGCTTCTGGTGTTTTCTGGCAATCTTTGGCATCCCTTGGCTTGCACATGCATCACTCTAATCTCTGCCTCTATTGTCACATGGTATTCTTCCCTGTATGTCTGTCTACTGTCTAATTTGTGTCTGCATTCCTCTCAGACACCAGTGGCTGAACTAAGGCCCAACTAAATCTAATTTAATCTCACCTTAACTTGATTATATCGGTAAAGACCCTATTTCCAAATAACATCACATTCCTAAGTATTGGGGTTAGGACTTCAGTGTATCTTTTCGGTGGTCACAATTTAATCCATAACAGAAATTTATTTGATATGTTTAGGTTAATTTTCAACAAAAATTAATCCTGATTATTCAGTTATATTTTTGTCTTCATTCACTCTTTCTTAAAGTTCCAAAGGAAGAGTATTCATGAAGATGTGCTTAACCATAAAAATCTGAACTCAAATGGATTCAGGTCAACATCCAGACTTACTCAATTTCAGAGCTTAGGTAGTGGATACTTAACCCTGTCTTATAAAGTAAAGTCACCTATAAAAAATAGAGAAGATAATTTAATGTTTGACTAATTGGGGAAAAGATTCCTTTCTATCAAGAATTTGTAACCACATCATAGTCTCTAATTTGGTTTCTTTCAATATATACTGAAATATACCTATGTCTTGGAATTTATTGGATCATAAATAATCAATAATAGATATTGATGTTAAATCAAAAGCTAGATTATAGTTGTGGGAACAACTAATGCAGCCACTGTGTCCATCAAGAAAAGATCAACTTGAAAATTTTCTAGTATTTTCTTGTAATGGCATTACAGTCTCTGTCTTCAAAGCTCAATTCAAACACCAAATCTAAACAAAGCATAGTAGATATCAAAACCCAGATATGTAGAGGCTGATATAACTTAACTAAAGTTATGTTTGAGAAAGCATATGATATATGCTTATTTGGATGGAGAGAAACATTACAAGATGTACTCTTGAAATTCAATGTGAAGAGTGAGTAGATAATGCCACAATTTAAAAAATGATTTAAGGAAGTTTCATCTGTCAGTTGCATGTAGAATGGATCAGATGAAGAAGACTGGAGTTAGAGAGAACACATAGGAAGCTCTTTGATTCATCCCTGTATCAGATGATAAAGTTGTACATTAGGATGTTCACAATAAAAATAAAGTGAAAAATCTTAAATAAAACATTATAAAAAATTGAAAGAAAAATTCATAATTTTTGGTGACTGAATATGAAAAAGAAGGATTGAGATGAATCATATAATTCAAAATTTGGAGACTGGATGACTAGCTTGAATCAAGGCTAAGAGGCAAGAGTTTTTCATTAAATATAGTTAACAAAAATGTCACTAGCTCTAAAAAAATTACAATATGTTCCCTTCTCTCTATTAGAACTTGGAAATAAATAGGAGAATGTCAGGGCAAACTGTTTTTTGTCTATCTTTGAGTGTCTAAGCAAAGCCTACAGCCTCCTGACATGCTCCCTCTATTATTCTGTTCCATTTTTCTCTGGTCTATTTCATCCTTCTTAATGGAATTTTGGGACAAATGTGTAGCACCTACTGCCTTTAATAGACATTTTTGGTCACAGATCCCACTGCACTTTCAAATCACATTTTCTCAAGCTTAATATTTTAAACTATCTAAAAGATCAAAGAAGAAAATACATGCTAAAAAATTACATAATGGGCAGGAATATGGTGTATCCAAGAAAATATATACAAATCTGCTTTATATCCTGAAGCTAAATAAACAATAGAGACTTTAGAAACTTTATTATTATTTTATGCTTTTGTATTTTTTTATTTACATGAATTGACTTTAAAGGGTTCCAATTATGATGCTTTAATGATTATGCAAAGGACATAATTTAAAAATTCCTAGATCTTATTTCAAGAGCTTTTACATTTGTTCGCTTTTTACCACAAAAT
Source organism: Homo sapiens (assembly GCF_000001405.40). Taxonomy (NCBI): domain Eukaryota; kingdom Metazoa; phylum Chordata; class Mammalia; order Primates; family Hominidae; genus Homo; species Homo sapiens. The sequence continues at coordinate 97,196,007 of NC_000004.12, forward strand.
ATTTAAGACCCAAGTATAAGCAATGATAGAAAAGTTTGGTTAATAAATTCCCATGTTTAGCACAGACTTTTAATTGAAATATTATATATTAAAGTCGATACTTGTTTTAGGAGTATCTTAATAAGAAATAAAAATACAATTTGCATAAACTATATACTTTTTGGATTTTTTCATACTTCAGTGTCTATGGTTTCAAGGAGCTTATACAGTTCCCTGAAATTATTTTTTAAAACTGCGGACGTCTTGTTATGCACTAGTAAATGGTATAATAAGAAAACATTAAAATAAGCAATGATAATTTCAAAAAATGTTATTAAATCTCTTAAGAAAATAAATCTAGTATTATGATTAAAACTTAATTTCAGAGACTTTGGAGGTGGATTTAAGATTATTAAGTATTAGGTATTCTTTGAGATATATTAAAGACATTAAATGATTGTATTTCCCTGAAACTTGTACTCGCCTGTGAAAGTTGTCAGAGTTCATTGTAAGAGACAAAATATTTAATTAAAATGGCTTGATACCACACACAATAGATCAATTCTTATACGAATTTATGACAGCTCAGCTTAGTTCATATTTTAAAGTAAATATTAAAGGGAGTTTATTTTCAGTTATATTGTAAAGCAGGAAAACGCTGTTTTATAGGGCTCCTTAAATTTAGTGTTGTCTTGTTTGTATTTGAAAAAACATGTAGTACAATAGCTATTTTATGGACTGCTATCTTTTATTGTAGATACCCTAAAAAAATGGACTGTGAGAAATTCAGTACTGATTGTTCTTTACTTTGACAACCTATCACATATGGGAACATTAAGCCAATGAACAGTCACTCAAAGCAAAAATCAAGGAATGTTAACGCCTAGATCTATAAGGGCTTTAACAAATAACTTATTCACTTTTATCAATATCATAAATATGGTACATCAAACAATTATAAGATACTATTTCATGGAGAATGATAAAGTTGATAGAAAACCATTTTCTTTCTCATCAAGCCTATCAGTATATACCAATGAGGTTTGTCCACAGTTATTTCCAGATGCCTATGTATTGTTAGTATTCAAATTCTATGTGAGAATTGCAGAGTATAAAAAATTGTATATAGATATAGATGTTGATATAGATAGATACAGATATGTATATTTCTCTATATCTATGTAGAAAGCTGCCTTGAAAGTTTACGACTTTACTTGAAGAATGGCTTTGGGTACATTGTGAATTGTTAATGACAAAGAACAGATGGGATTGATTGCTAGCTCAGTGTGAATCGGGAAGAAAATGCCTGCAGATATTCAAGCTTGGTGTGGAGCAGCCATTCCAGACCCAATAGCCCAGGATTGTCAGGGTGAAAGAACCAGGCTGATGAGCACAATACAAAGTTTGTACAAAAGAAGTGAAATTAGCCTAGTAATTACTTGATTATGGAAAGGAAAATATCAGTTATGGAGGGAGATGTTTTAAATGAACTGAAAAAAGAGAGACATACTGGTCTCAGTAGGCTTCAATTAAAAAGTTGCAATATTTGTCTTACTGGCACTAGGGGATGCCCAGTAGTAATTTATGTTCTGGGAGGCCTTTTTTTTACACAAAGTCAGCTCCTCTTTTACTTTTAGGCCCACTAACTCTCCTCAGAAAGAAATATGCTAGTCAACTGGCAAATCAGAATCAAATATCCATACAATCCACAGTGAGACAAATTATTTAAATACCCACAAATGTAGTAAGCATGTTCCTTGGATCTCTTATTCTGGTATACTTAACATCTGAGGAAGACAAATAAATTATCATTGTGAAATAATGAAGGACAGAAAGATCTTAATTGTCATCTGAGGATGGTTACGAGAATGGACTATTGACTTATTTTGGTGTACAATTTTACAACCCTTCAGGTACTTAAAAATGCATGATGTGTATAAGCCATTATTCAGTTAATGAGACGGTAAACTACAATTTGCATTGAAATTGTCCAGTGTTGCTTTTCATTAAAGAGATAATGACTCAGAAGATATTTTAGGTGTTGCTACAAGCTGCTGTTTTCATTCCATTTTTATTTGACAAACTGGGTCACATTGTATTACAAGAAGACAATCTATCCTATAATATGCCCATGTTACTTGATTTTGCAACACAGAAATGATGGAAAGTGATAGCCCCTTTGCACCTGGCATGCAATCTCAGCATAATGCCATGCTTAAGCAAATCAGCAGACCCTTATGCAATAACCTAAATTTTGCTTTAAGGCACATTTGTGTATATTAAACTGGGCTCTTGGAAGGCAAAACATCCGCAACAGTTCAACATACTAAAGTAGATAATGTAACAAAGTCTGATGGCTTAGAGCTCTTAGACTGCATTTCTCTTGGATTTGTTGGCATTGCAAATAAGCTGAGGGTGTGATCTCCACAAAACTCATTAGTTAGAGGTAGGAAGCACCTGGCCATTGTTGAAATGTTAATGATGACTCCAAAAGGAACAGACTTTTTTGGGGGGAAGTATAATATATATAACGAAGCTTCAGGGCAATTTTCTAAGCCCTGAAAGGTCTCTTGGTTGGGTCCCTTGGTACAGATCTCCCTACCTAGAATCTAGATCTCTCAATCTCACCCTCAGTACAAAATTGTGAGACTATGATGGAGAAAAGGCAATTCCTACATGTTTTCCTATGACCATAATTCCCGTCACTAATGAAAGCATAGTAAAATTGGTCAACACTTACTTTTTGTTGGTAGTGAAAACTGTCTCACAGAAATAACTTGAGTAATATGTCTCTAGACACGGGTTAGCAAATTTGTCGGTGAAGGGCTTGATAGGAAATATTTTAAGCTTTATAGGCTGAACTATTCAACTCTGCCCTTTGAAGCAATGAAAGAGTTTCTTTGTTTTACAATAAAACTTTATTTATAAAAACAGACAATGCCCCATAGGCTATAGTTTGTTGACCCCTTCTCTAAAGCCATATAAAAATTAATGCCTTGATCCACTAATCCTATTGCTTGGTATGTACCTGAAGCAAGATATTTACAAGATCAATTTTTAAAAACTATTCACACCCTAGTATTTATAACAGTGTTATCCATAATGGGGAAAACTGCAATTGTCTTCATTCAACAACAAAGAAATAGTCAAGGGTAGTAACTAGAGGTAACATTATGCATCTGCCTAAACATAGTTATAAAAAATGTTTTAAAATATTGAAATATCTTTGTGATAGAAGATTAAGTGAGAAATTCAGGCTACAAAAGTTTGTATACATTAGAGTAGAAATTAAATGGGAACATATATAACAAAACATTTTTAAAGTTTAGAATATAAATAAAAGTTAAATTATTCAAAATGCATACATATAAGACAAAGGGAAATCACTAGGGCATATCCATTTATTAAATCAGCAGTCTCTTATTGAACATCACTGTGTTGGCCATTGGGATCAAAGAAATAAGTGATAGTCCTATCCTGAAAGAACCTTACAAATAATGGAATATGAGGAATAAGATGAAATGATGTCACACCTTCCAGTGGATGATGATGAGGAGATTCCATGGGAGAAGGGGAGCAGTGACAGCGTGAAGGTCAGGTGAAGAATCTGCCATAAAGGAACTTTATAGTTTAGTATGGCTCGGGTTGTTTGGTTGGAATAGGGAGAGATGAGGACAAAGAGGCCAGATCATAGGAAGCTTCATATGACATGCCAAGGAGATTAGAGTTTATCCAGAAAGCAGTATAGATGTCAGACATAGGCTGCATTGAAGAGATTTAAATTTCTAGCCAAATAATCACTTAAAAATAGTTTTGTAATAATAAAATAACTACTAAATAAAGGAAGGACAATAGAGAAGAAACAATTATGAGAAATATTGCAAAAAAAAAATTGGCGTTACGAATCAGAGTTTTGAATCCTGGATCCTCCTCTCACTAACTAGGTGACTTTCAGCAAGTTTGTTAGACTTTCTGAGTTTCCTGTCTCTTATTTGTAAACTAGGCATTGTCATACCTTCCTTGACTGAGCATTACAAAAATTATTTTTAAAAGTGTTTATAAAATCACTAGCACAATGCATGTTTGAAAGAATAAATACATAATTAGAAGCTGGCATTACTTGTAATAATACTGGCTAGAAGTGTTAGAGGCTTAAATGAATAATAGAGAAAAAGGAAGTTTAGAAAGTATAGAAAGATTAAGGAAGCCCCCAGATAGGTGAAGGAAAAAGAGGACTCAAAAATAACCTTTTGGAGGATAATATGATTAGTCCAGTGTGGAATTATAGGAAAAGGAGCCAGTTTGGGAGCTAGATACATAAAATTTTAACTTACACTGGAAAATTACTGAAGTAATTGAAGTGCAAAAACACTGGAGTCTGACCCAGAACTGAAGTAAAAATGTGAAAACGTGATTTCACTGGAGTTTGCTGATACAGAATATGTAAGATATAATGCTGTGATAAGCAGGGCTTGTAGGTGTGGGAAAACAGGAAGTAGAAAAGAAAGAGGAGAAAATATTATCTAAGTATATAACTGAAGGAGAGCAGTCAAGATGTGACCTGCCATTGTTCATATATGTCCTTTGGAGATAATTTTCTAATTATTCATTAGTGTGAAATCCATTTTGGCATGAAAGATGTAGCTATCATCGATATAAAACTTCATATTTCCTAAGGAATTCAGGTAGTGGAAAATCGAGAATATCAAGTTCCAGTAACAGATCCAATTTATTCATAATTTGTTTGCCAATATTATTGGTTGGCAATGTTAGTTTTCCCCCGGAAATCAATTTTGTTGCCCTTAGTACATGTCTGAGCAGAGATGGTGTGGGAGCATATGCGGAGCCCCTCCTTCTATTTAGTTCTTCATCCTGTCTAATCTGGAATGCTTCTCAATGTTCTTCATTATTGTGCACTATTTTTTCACTCGATATATAACTCCTCTAAGGCTGAGAGCAGTGGCTCAAGCCTGTCATCCCAGCACTTTGGGAGGCCGAGGCAGGCAGATCACTTGAGGTCAGGAGTTCAAGACCAGCCTGGCCAACATGGACAAACCCCATCTCTACTAAAAGTACAAAAATTAGCTGGGCGTGGTGGCGTGCGACTGTAGTCCCAGCTACTCGAGAGGCTGAGACAGGAGAATTGCTTGAACCTGGGAGGCGGACGTTGCACTGAGCCGAGATTGTGCCGCTACACTCCAGCCTGGGAGACAAAGTGAGATTCCGTCACAAAAAATTTAAAAATATATACAGATATAACTTCTCTAAAAATACTTGCTAACTATGTTCTTGTCTGTGATGCAGTAAAACTAAAGAGGCTTTTAAATCTCTAAACAAATTATGCTCATTGCTTTACCTTTGTCAGAAACTCATTGATTCTGTTGCCTGGTGAAGGTTCATTTGTTTGTTAAGCCTGATACTCATCTTTCTTCTTTTTTTTTTTTTTTTTTCTAGAGACAGAGTCTCGCTCTGTCGCCCAGGCTGGAGTGCAGTGGTGCAATCTGGGCTCACTGCAAGCTCCGCCTCCCGGGTTCACGTCATTCTCCCACCTCAGCCTCCCGAGTAGCTGGGACTACAGGAACCCACCACCACACCGGGCTATTTTTTTTTTCTTTTTTGTATTTTTAATTTTCAGAACGGGTTTTCACTGTGTTAGCCAGGATGGTCTCGATCTCCTGACCTTGTGATCTGCCCGCCTCGGCCTCCCAAAGTGCTGGGATTACAGGTGTGAGCCACTGCGCCCAGCCCCATTTTTCTTTTATTAATCCATGCTAAATGTTTTCCATACCATCTTTCACTTGCTTAAATGTTCTCACTTTTTTACAATCATTTAATCTAATATGTTTCTTCTCAATAGAGCTATAGTTTTCCTTTTATGGGCTTCATACCTATTGAGCTTCTGGCTATAAGAAGAATATATCAACTGAATTTTGCTCAGTTTGATATTTATATTGTATTTTAGCAAATGAGTTTGCTCAAGATTGAAAAATGTGATTCCTACAGGTATCTCTATCAAGTTATCTAGTTACAAATAAATAAAGCTCATGTGATATTGAAAAATGTAATTGATACTTGTACATCTTTTTGCAGTGGAAGAAAGAAAAGACAAGAAGATTCTGGAAAAGCCAATTTCAACTTATATCTGGCCGTAATTCATGTAATATCATATTAAATCAGGCTCTTTGACAGAAACTTCACTTCAACAACAGCTTCACTTAGAATGTTTCTGTAGTGATCAATTGAGGGAAAATGTGACTCCTAGGTATGTATTATCTTGGTTATTTTAAATACTACAATCGTACTTTCTAGACACCATAATTTTTATTAGACTCTCATTTTAGCTTAGTGAAATAAGATACAATATACCATTAATCCAAAAACATGACAATATAAAGTGATCAAATGATAAGAATCTGTACTAATCTTTCTATCTATTGCGAATTATATCTGTAAAATGATATTGTGGTCATTTAGAACTGGCAAGCAGACCTAAATAGCATAGAGCAAGTAATAAATTATGGCTGAAATGGATAATTCTGAAAAATGGGGTAAAGTGAAACAGTAAAATATATATTTAATGATTGACAAGAAATCAATGAAGAATAGACTTGGCCACTTGGCAGCATATTGAAGAAGCATAAATTCAGTAGAAATAGTACAATGTTAACTTTACTGATTTTACAAATTATGTGTAATGTATTTAATTATATTAATTTAGTATCTGTTTCACAGAAAATGCTATGTTAGTTATTGCTTGGGAAAAGAAATATTTTTTCTACCTTTAAGTAGAGACAGGATTGTTCACAAATAAAATACAGGTGTTGACCAAGAGCACAAGGAAGAGAGGGCACTGAATATGGTTTAAGAATATATCCTAAAAATGAATGTGGGCAGTTTCATAGTTTCAAAACAGAACGTAGACATTGTTGTTTGAAGGGGGTGCTTTTAAATCTTAATCCATCAAGAAGATTGAAGATAGAGGACTTGACCAAATCTGTGGTCTGAAATCTATTGGATTCTCTAGCTTTTTACTAATTACTGGATTCTAACTTATTGGCCAGACTCCAAAATTCTATCACAGGTAGCTTCAATATTTTAACTTTAAAATTAATAAAACAAACAGTATCTATAAAAATTAATGAAGACAAAATATCTCAATGACATTTTTTCAGAAACACAGTAGAAGAAAAAATATGCACACATATAGCCTTTGGTAATATTCCCTTATTTAAAAAAAAATCATGTACACAGAAGGAAAAAGTGACAACCATCATGCATAATCCACTTTTGTGTTCTGTTATGTGTTATCATAAATTATAATGAGGAGAAACAAAGAGAATAAATCAGTGTTTATACCTTTGATGTCAGGCATTATCAATTTTTCAATAAATCTTAGAAGAATTTGATTATAATAGTATATTATTCTTTCCCACATATTAATCTGAGGAATAGTATTATCCATATATTTCTCATTTATTCACAATAGAGATATTTGTTTAGTGTATATTAGATGCTGGAAACGTTGCTGGGCAGGGGGGATATCTTAGTCTGCAGTGTTAGTATTTTAATGGAGGAACTACAGAAGATGACAAAAATAAATGACAAATTTCAGGAGCTTTTGAATGGTGACTGGAATTGAACAGACAGTGAGTTAGCTACATAGAAGAAATATTTAAAGGAAACTTGTTGGATAGAGAAAAGTTACAATAAGCAGTTGATTACATCACTTTGAGGTGTACAGGGCGGGTCTGGAGTGTCAGAGAATGTGAAAATCATCTCAATAAAGGGAAGTAATAATTTCATTGCTTTCAGTCTGAATACAGACAAATGGAGTGGTGTGTTCATTCTGGGTCATACTCTTAAAGGTACATATATTAGTAAACTCCAAAGTAGTCAATAAAAGACAAATAGCCTGGTGAAGATCTCGAATCCTTTCTATCTAAGGGTGAGCTCCCATAGTTATGGAAATATTTAGGCTAAATAGAGGCCTCTTGGGAGTGGTAAAGGCTCTCCAGGAGCTTAAACATGTCCCAAACTGAGGACATTATGGTTGCTCTGGTTCTAACAAGTAGATCTTATGAGCTCCAGTCACAGGAAGCATCAGCTCATTTGTTAATTTAGCTCCCAAGTTTGTTCACAAATTCTGAAAACATAACAGCATTATTCCAGTAAGTCTTCTAGTAATGTCTTTCAGATCCATCAGAAAGCAGTCTTATGGGAGTTGCTTGGCTTGAGAAACTACTGAATTACCTGGATAGATAACATTTAAGGGATGCTATTACACTTAGTAAAGATGTATTGATCAAGGAAAACTCAGGACTTCCACTTTGATGCACAATAAGGGTTTGTAAAAACATGACTTAACATCTACAACCTTCTACAACTTCAGCCTATCTGGCTGAAGTTGATGTATGCTGTTGACCAATTCCCTTTCAGTGCATCAATCCTGCACTTATTTAAAAGTGAAAGACAAAGAGAAAATATAATGTATATGTACCAGTGAAAACAGACTGTTTTAGCAAAAACAACAACAAAAACCTATTCAGATACAAACAGGATTGGATAAAGTATTCTGCCTAAATTAAAATAACCTAATCTGAATGATAAGTCTGGAGCTCAGCAGGGTGAAAATGCATCTAAAAGTAAGATCACCTAATATTGAAGTCCTGAGCTAGAAACCACAAAACTTAAGGTCCGCAGTTCTTGGCCAATGTTCATTCTCAGCAGGGCAATTACTGAGAGTAAAAAATAAGTCACCCATCTCATTCACCAAAGTAATCCAGTAGGTTGATATTACTGTGTGTGCAACTTGCCTATGAATTAAACTTTCCCCCATCCCTCCCCCAATCCACAGCCAGCAAATATATCCAAAAGGAAAGAATTAGCCACGCAGAGTTGAAAAAAGTCCTCCAGTTCCTGTATACCCTCAGCCTCCGTCTTATCCTCTTAGGACCAGTGCACACACACACTGTGGCAGACTTTCATGTCTTCCAGTTCTACTACTGCTTCCTGAGTGATAGGGAGGTCACATGGTGCAAGTAAGTGTCACAACAGGCTGCTTAGAACACCCTCATTTTCCAAATAGGTAAAAAATGGGGGTGATGTTGGGGCTTCCTTCAAGATGCAATAAGGGATTACTAGAACAGATGGATCAATGTGAATATACAGTTACGTGATTTATTAACCAGCATGTTCTGATCAGAGTCAGCAAGGAGAGCAACTCCTCTGCAGCATTTAAGAAATTTTCAAAAAGAATGTTTCAATTTACATATTAATGCAAAATCAAAAAGCACTGTTTTCTTTAGCCTTTTTAAATTCTACCTTGAACTCCTCCCAAGGTGATCTGTACCACATCTCAAGGTGGTGTCTCTATCCTCTCTCTCTCTGTCTCTCTCTCAATATGGTCTATAAGAACAATCCTTTAGTCTCAAAGGGCTATCTAATATTATGCAAATTATGCTTGCAATATATCACCTTATACCTCCATGTCCTTATAATATATGCAATAGTTTGCTGCCATAGACTGCCTTTTCTGTTGCCTACACACTTTATCTTTGATGATAACTCTAGTATTGTTTGCTTTTCTTCCAAGTTTGTGCAAAACATATTATCTTCTGTGATCAAAATCAAGTATATTCACATGTGTGCATGCACACACACGCAACACACAGCTGACTATATTCCAGTATATTTTATACTCATCAATGATATTAAACTAACCTCTTGCATCTTCACTCTTATTGTATTGGTTTTTATTCTGGTTTTAGTTTCAAAGTTTTCCTCAGATTACTAAGTGTATATTTTCTAATATGTTAATATATTTGTCTATTTTTTAATAGTTAACTCACCTAAATAGGGGCTAAATCTGAGTATGTTTTTTTTTTCTAGCCCCTTAAAAAAAGGAAAAGAACAATTCTTAAAATTTCCTCAGATGGTCAGGAATAATATTAAACTATTCTTATTTTGGAAGGGGGTTGGAAATGATCGAGGGTTTCTGATGCTCCTAATTGCCGGTAGCTGCTGTGATGCTATACTACTTTGGCCTCATAAAATATTTATCAATACATGTAAAATGAAATTATTTTCATAATCCTTTAAAAAATTATGTTGGAAAACATTTCAAATAGTTGTATTGATGTCACATACAAACTGAATAATAATGATGAAATAAAGTTTTAAATAAAACTTGTAATCAATTCCTTTTAACCAACATCCTTATTTTTTAACAAATATTTTCTTTCAGAATAATTTTAGATTTATGTAAAAATTTCTGCAATAGTACAGAAAACTCCTGTATACCGCACACCCTCAAACTCACTCTGTCCTATTAACATCTTATGGTGGTTTGATATATTTGTTATAATTAACAAACCACTATTGAAACATTATTATTAACTAATGTCTATACCTTGGAATTTCTTTTGTTTTTATCTTGACTCTTTTGTTGTTGTTCCAGAATCCTATCCAGGATTCATTACATTTAGTTCTTATGTTTCCTTAGGCTCCTCTTAGATATGATGAAATAGCTTTACTTTTTTATTAACATCCAATTCCTTCAAGAAATGCTCCCTCAAAAATATTCTCAGTATAAATACTGCAAATTATTATTCCAAAGAGTAATTTCCATAGATTATCCAGAAACTAAGGTATTACCGTACATAATAGAGATATATGGTAGACCCCATAACAAAAAACAAACCCTTTTTCTTCTTCCTTTTTTCTTTCTCACTCTTTTCTTCCCTTCCTTTCCCTTCCCTTCCCTTCCCTCCTTCCCTCCCTTCCTTCTTTCCTTCCTTCCTTCCTTCCTCAAAATATTAATTGACTTCCAACTGTGTGCCAGGCACTGCTCTACGCTGTGGGAATTCATCCAACAGCAAAGCGGTAGAAAACCTGCTTGATGGGGCATACATTTTAGAGGGGAGAGAAAAAACATAAAACAAATAAGCATAATAATTGAATTACATCACACTTTAGAAAGTGATAAAAGCCATGAGGGAGACAAAATAGTGTAGCCTAAGGAGGAGTGGGAGGGAAGATGTGATCAAGGTCAGCCTCACTGACATAAGAGGAAAGAGCTGAAGGAGAAAGCCATGCATCCCTCTGCTGAAAAAGCTTTTTGTGCAGAGGCAAGAGTGAGTGCAAAGGCTTTGAATCAGGAGCTGCCTGGGGTGTAAAGAACAGGTAGAAATTCCAGCATAGGTAGTTGGAGCAAAGGAAGAAAGAGAGGGTAATAGACAATGTGTGTAGCAAGATAACAGAGGGCCAAATCTGGTAGATTCTTGAAGGGCTTTGTAAGGATTATAGCTGTAACTCTGAGAAATATTGAGAAGATTTGAAGAGTTTGAGCAGAACTATTCCATAATCTATAGTGAAACAAAATCACTTTTGCTGCTCTACTGGGAATAGAATATAGGAAGCAAGAGTGGGAGCTGGAAGAATGTAGGGAAGCTACAGTGGCAATCCAGGCAAGGGATGGTGGTGCTGTGATAGTTGTGGAAGCAGTATGGATATTTAGGTGTGGCCTAGTTCTGGATGCATTTGGAAGCAAAGCCAAATCAATTTTTCTGTGAAGCATAGAAAATTGGAAGAGTAAATAGGACTCTAAGGACTTTGGTGTAACCCACTGAAGAATAGGCTTGCCATTAGTAGATGACAAAGACTGAAATGGAGCAAGTTTGTGTGGGGCAGAGTTAGCAGTTCAGTTTTGGACTTGTTGAATGTGAGATGGCTATTAGCCCTCAGAAGATATTGAGTAGGCAGTTGAATGTATAAGTCTAGAGTTCAGAGTAAAAGTTCCAAAATGCAGATGTATAAACTTAGTACTGTTAGACACAGATAGCATTTAAAACCATAAGACCGCATGTGATCCCCAAAAGAATAAATGTTTAATACAACTAGGTCATAGTACTAAGGTCTGGCCCCTCCAAGAACAAGAAGTTTGGAAGACAGAATGAGTTGCTGGTGAGGCAAGAGGCAAACACAGAGAAATAGGAAACTGGAAGCCAAGTGAAGAGATAAAGGGTCTCTAAGAAGAGGGAGTGATTACAGGAACCATCATCACATTTACAATTTTTGAATTGAAACATTACAGGACTTATGAGATAATTTTATATTCACTATAAAAGTTAATTAATATGGAGGAAAACACAAAGATTTTGGATTCAGACCTATTTAAATACAAATCTCTCTGTCACTTATGGTATGATCTTGGACAAGCTGCAAACCCTGCTTATACTTCAGATTCCTGAGGAAAGCACTTCCTCCAGCCGTGCCCTGAAATTGTTCATCAGTTTCCCGTATAGTAACAAGATACAGTGGATGAAAGTATTGTCTAATACCTATATAGATATTTTAATGTTTAATTTTATTTCTCACTAAGTCAACTCAGATATTTTCCTGCAATAAAAGTAGAACAGTATCAATGAACTGGGGTCACCTTAAGAAAGCCACACATTTTTAATCTTTTTTCTCTCTGGCCTCATTTAAGTCCATGCTATTTAATTATATCTTGGCTGCAAGTTATTTACAGGAGTCATATGAAAAAGTAAGTGTTCTATTAGTGTTAAGATAGTCATCTTTGCCCTAGAAACTATAACAGGTGCTTTTAAAATTCAGTACTTCTACTTATCTAAATGAAATGGGAGAAGAAAGGAAAGGCATAGTTGAAAGGCTGACAGTGAGGGGCTATATTTACAAGAGGGCCTAATTTGCAACTGGAAAATGGCAAAAATGGCTTTGGAATGAATAGTTGAGCCCCAAGATGATGACTTGCGATTCTCTGGCCATGGAGATAGCCAAGGGCATAGCCAACAAGAAGAGAGGTTTCTTGGGAGGCAGGAACTCACCCACAATTATAGGATTTTAGTTGCTTGAAGTCAGTTATTCATACTGGTGAATTGTCAGTTAGGATGTTAGTTTTATGTCCATGTAAAGCCTTGCAACTCATATTTTTCTCAAACTCAGCAAAAAAGAGAATCTATCCTGACTGAAAGAGCAAATTCTCACCATTCAAGTGCTTAATAAGTAATGATTTTTCTCAGAAAGAAAGGACTGTCTATGACCTTAATGAGAACATAGATTTGGGGTCAGAGGAATAAATGTCTTATATGGAGTAGAAGGATGACATCCATCAAGTCAAAACTGAAGTTGACTAACAAGCAGGTTAGTGTGGCATTGGTAGCAAACTAGAGAGAGCATATCTTAGCCCGAGTCAATGGTCATCATTTATTCAGCAGAGAGCCACTAGAATGGTACTAAGGTCACCAAAGCTCTGCAAGAGGAAACCATTAATAGAACTTAAGGATGTTAGTCAACCTTGTTGGACTATACTTAAAAGACGGACCTAGAGATGTGGGAGCCCCAGTGATTCCATTGATGGGAACCCATCTCTTTTACTTTTCCTGTGCTTCTAGAGATGAGTGATGGGAAAACCCATTTTATGTCTGTGTGAACATTTGCATCAGCATCTCACTTTCTCTGCTTTGTCTCTGACAGAATTGCAAAACTCATAAAGCCAATAATCTGTTTCTCTATCTCTAAACAAGACCAGCTAAATCATTTCAAACAAAATACAAATACATGCAAAAAAGACCCCCAAATAAACCATATCACCCTGAGCAACTACAACCTCATATTTTAGATACTTGATAAATACTGAATGATGAACTGAACACATTCATAACCAACAAACTTCAACATCAGAAAATGTTTTCTTGTTTCTACTTTAGGTGCTTTCTATTTTATTTCCTCTTATTATGAACTCTGTAAATGTAGAGAATACCTAGCCATCAATCTTTGTACTGTATCTGTTCCATACATGAAGACTATTATTAAATTTCCTTCATGATCCTCAAACTCACTTAGCCTTCTCTTCTGCAGGCTAAATAATTCATCTCCCTTTTTTATTTCAATCTTGTCTGAGTTTCTTGCATTAGCCGGGAGGAGAAATGCTGAAGTCACAGGGGATTTTTAACTCAATACTCTTTTAGGATGTTAAGAGTAATGAGAATGGTGATGGCAATGGTGTGTGGAGATGTCACTACCAATACATGATAACTAATGAAATTTTTTGAAGACATTGTTAATATCTAAATAATCTCACAGTTTGAGTTTTGTGTAAGCCAGGAAAGATGATTTTCAATGAGGGAGAATAAAAGGTTTTGTGCTTAGTCATCTTCAAATATATATGCCCTTGTTCTACAGTTCATCAGAAATTAAAATTTTCCTGTTTAATACACACTAACTAGGTTCACTCCATAAAATGACAATTGCCTTGGAGTCTTCTCCATACAAGTGGATTCTTCTCTGAAGATTAGAGAAAAGAAAAATGGTTCATAAATTCATAATGGCCCCTGAGGGGAAAAAAAATCTCTAATTCCACTCAGAGAAGTTAAGTATAAGGAATGCAAGCTATTTATCAGCGTGACACTCACATTCAAAGGAGTGAGACATACAAAGTTTTCAATTGTGAAAAAGTTTTGCTACAGAATTTTGCCCAACATTCAGTTCCTGTGTAGTACAACAGAAGGTCATCCTGAGCTGGTTTATGTCAAGAAGTAGTGGATTCCAGAGAAGTTAAACATTTTTCCTTCAGGAGACAGAATAAATAGCTGATGTTACCAAACTGATTCCAAAGTTGATACAAGAAGATTAGACAGCTACAACTTAATCTCCCCTGTTTTTGTGAAAGAGTGGCACCATCATATCAGAGATTTACCAGACAATCCCTCAAATACTAAGGTGTTAACCTATACATGTCTCCGGAGACTATTCCTTTCTAGATATTTTATTTAAAACAAATATAATAGCCATAGCAGCTTCTATCCCTTCCAGCTATATGAAGCTCTCTTGCCTTAAAACTTAGAAAGATCACCAAGGAGACCTGTTGTCATCACTATGAAGTACACATAATAGAACTCTGTCATTTACCTCAACCTAAGTTCTTACTAGTACTCTATTCACCCAAGTGGTATGTGTGCATCTCAATTTTAATTTTATGTCTTAATTCACAGCCTCACTTTAGATTCAGACTCCACTAAGGTTTTCAGGAAAGAAGGTGGGGGTGGTGAATCTCAAATTTTCAATATTTTTATTAGTGAGAAACTGAACGGATAACTGGTTTTCTGCAAAGCATGTTTTCTCGAGGGAATGCACTCACTCTGGTTTATCAACTGGCAAACAAGACACCTACGGTTATCTCTTTACCACCCTATTGCCCCATCAATAATGTACAGACTGTCATTAAGAAGTCATTTCTCCCTTCTGGGCTGAATTTTGAGATGTGCATCATGTGGGAAAAAATAGGAGTCACATTATGGAGACTATAGGTCACTCTGTAATCTCAGATACATGCTGTGCTATTCTGCTGACAGTCCGTCAAGATATGTTCCAAAGCATGCACCAGTGCATATAAAAATATATAGGCTGGGACCCCCAAACTCATTTCATTAGGACATTTCAAGGTTAACATTATAATCATGCTTCAGGGCATAAACTTATCGCCAGCTGAGTTCAGGAAGACATTTCACTTCTGTGGAAAGACTGTTCCCAGTGGGTCAGTTGCATTGTAGGTATGTATTACCTTTTGCAAATATTTCTTTAGCCACGCCAAAGTGTGTTCCTTGTCTTTTTCTTGATCTTACAGATTTAAGCTCAAATAACCAAACAATACTGCTTTATACTTGTAAATAATTCTAATCTGAGACTTTCTTTTCTCTCTTCTTTTTGTCTTGTGGTTTTCTTGATTTTCACTTAGTAATTTACCAACAAATTTACATGGGCATTATATATATAGCAGATCTTCAAATAATGTCACTTTGTTCAATGTCCTTTTATTGTAATGTTGATGAGAAAAAAGAAATCAATTCCCAGCCAGGGCCATTGACCCTGTGGAGTCTGCACATTCTCCCCATGTCTGCATAGGTTTTCTCTGGGTTGGGTGAATGGACATGTCTACATGGTCCCAGTCCAAGTGAGTGAGTATGGGTGTGTGTGTATGTGTGTGTGTGTGCACCCTGCAAGAGGATGGCATCCTGTCAAGGGTCAGTTTCCACCTGGTGTCCTGAGATGCTGGGATAGGCACTGTCCATCTACTACCTTGAACTTAAATAATCATCTTACTTGTTTTTATTAATCTTTCTTAAATGTACATACAGGTTACAATTATTTCTATGTTCAGTGTTAGTAGTGTTTTGGTCTTTATTTAGTTTGGTGATGTTTTTGTAACCATAAATATGCCATAGGAACTTAATTCTTTTTTTTTTTTTTTTTTTTGAGACGGAGTCTCGCTCTGTCGCCCAGGCTGGAGTGCAGTGGCGGGATCTCGGCTCACTGCAAGCTCCGCCTCCCGGGTTCACGCCATTCTCCTGCCTCAGCCTCCCAAGTAGCTGGGACTACAGGCGCCCGCCACTACGCCCGGCTAATTTTTTGTATTTTTAGTAGAGACGGGGTTTCACCGTTTTAGCCGGGATGGTCTCGATCTCCTGACCTCGTGATCCGCCCGCCTCGGCCTCCCAAAGTGCTGGGATTACAGGCGTGAGCCACCGCGCCCGGCCAGGAACTTAATTCTTGTTTATGCCAATTAGCCTGTGGTAAAACTGGTTTCCTTTTCTGCTGTTTCACTTAAAGTCACAGTTTCCAAGAACCTATGGACAATGCTAAGTGAAGACTTACTGTATTAGGATTTGCTATTATCATCTAATAAAAGATTATTTATTTGAATAAGGACACTAGAGGTACTGTCAGCAGTAGTATTGGGACTAAACAGTTTCTGTTATTCAGAATTATGCCTGCTGTTTGGCACCAAATGCTCGATATTGTATCATATTGTATCAATGTTGTTTGTCTGTTTGTTTGTTGTTTATTTATTGAGACAGGGTCTTGCTCTGTCACCCAGGCTGGGGTGCAGTGGCACAATCAGTTTGCAGTTTGCAGTGCACAATCAGTTTGCTGCAGTCTAGAACTCCTGAGTTCAAGTGATTCTCCTGCCTCAGTCTCCCAAGTAGCTGGGACTACAGGTGCATGCCACCATGCTTGGCTCATTTTTGCATTTCTTGTAGAGACAAGATCTTCTTATGTTACTAAGATGGTCTCAAACTCCTGGGCTCAAGTGATCCTCTTGCCTCTGACTCCCAAAGTGCTGGGAATACAGACATGGACCACTGTGCCCAGCCAATGTAGTAGATTTCTGATTATTCTGTATGCTCACCTGTTCAACAGCATAAAAGACACAGCAATGATCCTTGTCACCAGCTCCTGCTGGTGAAACCTTGCTCACAGTGCCAGCAAAGAAGTCCCCCTTGGAGTCACATCCTGCAAATATTCAACTCCCATATATTACAGAAGTATTAAGGTAGAGAGGTGAAGAAACAGTTTCAAACTCCATAAACAGAAGACAGAAGGAATATGAACCTTATTAACATGTCATACTATCACACTTTTAATAAGATTTTTCTGGAATTTCTTGCTTGTCACTTCCTTCTTTTGATAGGTTGTCTCTTTCATCTCAATTTAGGACTTGGAAAGTATTAGATAAATTCAGAGAAGGTGTGGACCATTCTCCAGCAATGATTTCAGATTTTCCAGCAATACCATCACTGAGAAGGAGCAACTCTTACATTTTCTTTTTAACCATACAAGAGTATCATTTACATCCCCAAAAGCTGCCCTTGTGTTTTGACCAACCTGAAAAATCATGTCAAACAGCATGGTTAATGACTTATCAGCAGAACTTATCTGCTGAGGCAGTAAAGCACTGACCCAAACTGCCTGGGTTCAATTCCCAGCTCTACCACTTAATTAGGCAATTACTTAACATGTCTTTGCTTCAATTCCCAGCTCTACCTGCTGCCATATTTGGGGATGACCCAGAGGGTCAGGGTGAGAATCACCTGAGTTAATTCAGAAAAGTGCCTGGCAGATAGTAGATATCCAATAAGTATTTATTGAACAAACAAATGTAAAATATATAGGTGTATTCTTGGCCCATAGTTACTATTCAGTGATTTTGTTATTGTTAAAAACATTGCTTTCCATCAGAAATATTGACCTCACTTATAGATAGAACGAAGCAAGTGCTGCCACTCTTGTTAACAAACCCTGTTTTGGGCAGTGACTTTGATGTGCATATCAGGAATCATAGAATTCCAGAATGGGAAGGCACCTTTAAGGCGAGAATGTCAAATTGCCTAAATTAATGTACTTAAAATCAATTGGCATAATGATCAATTTGCCTAATTACACATTCATCTAAAATGTTCATTTATCAAATATACAACTTTTCATCTGTGCTCAAGTAGTGTTAGCTTAGAGGCATTTTTATCATTTTTCACAGGGATCATTTTGTCTACTTTTGAGGGTTTCCAAGGTATTTCACCCACTTAAGATTAAGTGTTTAAAGTGTTATAAAAATACATTTAAGAAAAACACAAAAAACCATATCTCAAAAATGCTTAGAGTGGCATCTTATCATATATAAAATGCTACATGTATGACAGATTTTTATTAGGAATCTGATTATCAGGTTAATGTGTGTTTCAGGGGACAGGACATTAGGAGAATTGATTTTAGGTGAACTGACCTTAAATCTTCTTAAGGGTTAGGATGTGAAAGCAGCAGCATCAGTTTGTACTGGTGTCATTCTGCTGACTTTTCTATGTGACTAAGTTCATCTCTGTCACTATCTGCTGCCAGAGCTATTGTGACTGCTTTCAACTTTAGATCCATGATGAATTTCCAGATTTGAAACTTGCTTGCCCTCCTTGGTTGACTTTAGGACAAAGTAGCAAGAGATCTGTGTTTTGTACAGACTCCATGAGGCCACAGAAACTCATTTGTCCTATAAACAATGGTACACATGATTTAATATAACAGCTTCTTTCCATTTTACCTAACTTTCCATAATGCATATTTTAAACCTCTCATCTCCTCTGATAAAAAGTATTTTTATCATCAGTTGTCCTTCGGAAATAGAAAAGATAATGAAGAGACAGAAGGGCAGGGAATTTGCCTATGGAAAAAAACTATGGGAGAATCGTCAAAAGGTATAGGAACCCCTACAATTTCTAGGCAAAGGAATCCTAAGATACATAAATGTGGACTCACAGAAGCTCTTCTAAAACAGTGGCCAACACACAAAACTTTCTTTTATTTTTTGAGATCAGTTTTATTACCATTGATTCTAGTTCTTATGTGGAAGAGCAAATTCTCTGCTATTACTACTTTGCAAGATTCTTCTCTAATTTTACAACTACTGAAATGGTAAGGAATTTTTGTTTAAATACGAATGTTTAAATTTTCCTAAAGGTACAGAACTTGCTAGTTCTCAGGGTTTGTTTAAAGTTCTGTCTGTCTCTGTAATGATGTGACTGTGTCTGTCACATCATGTTGTAACTAGTAGTGTGGAAACTGACATCTGCCTACCAGTAATGGTGGTCATACCTCACTGCTACTCCAACTGCTCACAGTCCGGTTTAGCCTGCCACCCTGAGCTCCAGCCAGCTGTCAGGACTGTCACAGCTGCCATCTTATTTACTGCCATAAGCTTTCTTGGCATTGCGGACCCAGACACTGCTGAGTTGGCGCCTGTCATTGGCTGTAAAAGGCACAGGGACGAAAGACTCTGAGAAACCCTGGGAAGGTGCAACATGTTCAAACCACCTGACAGTGGAACCAGTCAGTGCTGAAGTCTCTGAGGTTGTTCTTTGTTGACTGATAAGATTGGACAAGGCACAGTAGGCCCTCCAGAACTCCTATTCAGAGTTGTTTTAATTGAATGTGTCACTGACAAGGGACAATCACTTGGGCTGTGGCATCTATTCCAAATGAAACAATTGTTTTAAAGTAATTGGTCTGACAAGAAGGCTGGCAGACATTGAGGATGAGATGCATGCATTTCTATGAGATGAGACAGGCATTTCTACGAGGAGAGACAGAAAACATGTTCCCTGTAATTGCTACGGCTAAGCTTTTAAACTTTTCCCTTTGCTTCTCATGAAACAAGTCTTTTAAACGCCTCTGACTGAGTAAACACAGCAGTTCTAGAGCACTGCTTTGCTTTTTCTGTCTTTTACATACGTAAGAGGTTATTTTTCAACTTGTTTAAATTATCTAGCCACAACAATTTGCAATAAATTTAATAGGAAAAAAGTGAAAAGGGTTAGTTTGTCTCTGAACTTCTTTGCCATCTCACTATTAGCAACTCCTGATACAAGGACTGCGATTATGCATTGTAAGACAGAAGGTCAATTACATGAGCTAGTTAGCACATATTGAGCAAAATTTCCCCACTGTGTAAGTGGCATGTTGGGAGAGTGACTGAGTCTGCAAGAGCCAAAAGCATCTACGCAAGTGGTACTTAGCCATATAACACACATACACAACAATAGGATATACGGCACATTAGAAAAAGAGAATACATGATACATTCTAACCCACAATCATTTTATATACTCTATACAATATCATCCCCCCATTATAATGATAAAATCATCATTTTAATAATATTTACAAACTACCTATATTACTCATTTGATCCTCACAATATATAAGGTAGGAATTATCCTTATATATTTACAATATAAATATATCCTTATATATTTACAAACTACCTATATTACTCATTTGATCCTCACAATATATAAGGTAGGAATTATCCTTACACATTTTATATATAGGAGGAATGAAGCCCACCTACATGACTATGTAGATGGGCTTCATCATACACATGAACAGAAAAGCAATGTTGTGACTTTAAGTTATCATTTTTTCCATACATCACAATGACTAGCTTCATCTTTGACCCTCTTCTATTTTTGCCATATTGAATGTGCTCTTCCTATGAATCATATCTAATTGCAAAGTTTTAACTAAAATATGTAAAAAGGAGGAGAGGGAATTTAATATCTTTCCTCTAATATTTTCATCTGTGAACCAGAGTTTCCACTATGAGTTACTAGGTACACACAGTGAAGTAACTGCAGTGGTTAAACATACATGTTCTACAGGGATGTCACACAGGTTTGAAACTCAGCTCTTGATATCTAATAGCTGTATAAACTTAGAAAAGTTACTTATCTCTGGTTTTGTTTCTTCAGCTATAAAAAGAGGATTCATTAATATATTCATTCATACATACCTTCATTCAGCAAGCATTACATACCCATAAAATTCAGGACACTGCTGCCCTCAGCCCTACGTATATAACAGGAAACAAGCCAAAAATAATACTGAGTTACATTACCAAGGAAGACCATCAGTTAATGAAGAAATAATAGATAGACTGGGTAGCAAGACTTGTAATGAAGGAGGAAGTTGATTGGAGGATAGTGATGGTAGAGTAGGGAGAATAGTGCTATTTTAGTTCGAATGGTTAAAAAAAAGGTATATTTTCAGAGATGACATTTGAACATTTGAAACTGTGGGAGGAAATCGTGTGAAGATAATTCCAGGCCGAAGGAAAAACAAGTACAAGATCCCTGAAGCAGGAATATGCCTGTGCATGCTCAAGGAGGAGCAAAGACATGTACTGAGAGGAGGATAAGAGAAGTCGAGGAAACTGTAGGCAATAAATTAGCAAAGTAACCAGTTGTCAATTCAGGTAGGGCAGTGGTGGTCTTCGTAAAAACTTCCAATTCGGGTCTAAGTGTGATGGAATCAATTGGCATCTTTGACGTATGGCAAACATCACTCTAACTATTGTAGGAAGAGTAAGTTGCAGGAAAACAACGCAAGAATGGGGAAACAAGTCAGAAGGCAGTTTCCAATAATCCTAAACAGAGATGGTAGTAACTTGGATAAGGGCTGCTGTCATGAAAGTAGTAAGGAGTAATCATGTCCTTTGCTGATGAATTGGATGTAGAGTGGGAGAGAAAGATTAAAGGTGATGGCATTTGACCCAAGCTATTGGGCAAAAGGTGGACCCAATTACTAAGCTAGGAGATATTAGAGATGAACAAGCTTTATGAGAATTAAAAGCACCTACCTAGTAGGTTTAGTGTGAAAATGAAAGCATTCAGTACGGAGCCTGATCTATAGCAATTCTTCAGTAAACCTTAAGTATTGTTATGATTATTATCATCATCATCATTATAATTAAGTCCTGTAAATTTTATTTCCTAAATAGGTCTCAGATGCATGATTTCCTCTCCATGATCATTGTTGTACCTTGGTTCAAGCCCTCAGTATCTTTTACTTGGATTCTTGCAATGGCCACCTGAGTTTCCTGCCTCTAGACTAGACTATATTTAATCTATTTTCTTTGCTGTGGGCAGAATTATCTTTCTAACATGTAAACCTGATCATGTTTCTTCCTAGCTTAAACACTTCAGTGGCTCTCCATAGCCTATAGAATAAAGCTGTGACTACTTAATGATCTGGTTGCTGACCATCAACACTACCCTCCTGTTTTCTTCAAGTTTCAATAATATCAAAATGCCTGTGGTTCCTCTAACATTGTAAATATTGCATGCCTCCCTGCCTTTATGTATGTTATTTACCTTTCCTGGAATACCCTTTTAGTCTCAATGACCTTGTAAAATTTAAGTCTTCAGTTTAAATCCTAATTAGCAATTACCTTTTGCATTGAAGCATTTTATTAAGTCTCTCAGAGAGAGTGGCATCCCCACATTGTTCCACTTCTTGTACTTAATCCTTGCACTATAAATAGTACATTTCTTTCTTTACATAGAGAGAAGTTAACATGTATGTTTGTCTCTTCAACACAATTATAAAATCCTTGAAGGCAAGGCTATGTCTTCTTCATCTTTGAATGACTGTGTGTGCACAGTTAGTGGCACATATATGTCCCTCATGAGTTTTGTGACCTAACATGAATGGTTTGTCAGTCATCTATGACATCTAGAGCAGTGAAGAAGAACAAGAGATTTAGAGTAGTTCTTCTTCACTACTCTAGATGTCAGAGATGACTGAGACATTAGTGCACCTTCTGTATCATAGCATATCACATCACATAGTTTTCATTATATCATTGCTGCTTAAGATGGTTTTAGTGTGTATTAGTCCATTTTCACACTGCTGCAAAGAATTATCTGAGACTGGGAAATTTATAAATGAAAGAGGTTTAATTGACTCTGCTTTCATGCTTAACAGGAAGCTTGACTGAGAGACCTCAGGAAACTTACAATCATGGTGTAAGGCAGAGGGGAGCACATATATCTTCACATGGTGACAGGAGACAGTGTGTGAAGCAGGAAGTGCTACACACTTTCAAACGACCAGATCTGGTGAGAACTTACTCACTATCACAAGAATGGCAAGGGAGAAGTCTGCCCCCATTATTCAATCACCTCCCATCAGGTCCCTCACCCAACACAGGGGGATTTTGATTAGAGATGAGATTTGGGTGGGGACACAGAGCCAAACCATATTACAGTGCCTTGACCAAACTTCTTTAGTTTATTATGAATTTTCCAATGATGCAATGTCTATTGACACAAGTGAGTTATGCCAAATTTGAAAATATAGGCTGGGCACAGTGTCTCATGCCTGTAGTCCTTGTACTTTGGGAGGCCAAGGCAGGAAGATTGCTTGAGTTCAGGAGTTTGAGACCAACCTGAGCAACGTGATGAAACCCTGTCTCTACAAAAAAACAAAATAAAATAAAAATTAGCCGGGCATGGCTGTGTGCACCTGTAGTCCTAGCTACTTGGGAGTCTGAGAGGGGAGGATCACTTGATTCCAGGAAGCTGAGGCTACAGCGAGCTGAGATCATGCCACTGCAGTCCAGCCTGGGCAACAGGGTAAGACCCTGTCTCAAAAGATCTTCAAAAATGAAATAAAAGTGACTGTGGAAATAAGACTTTCCTTTGCCTGGAATAACTACTGAATTCCATCAAATCTTTTGATACCCTGTGTATTTGTTATCAAAACACCAGGGGTTTGGTCTAGGTCCTGTGGCTTGCCACACAGAAAACCAATCACTGAGACAATGAGTATTTCCAGGAAAGCAGGCTTTATTCAGGTGCTTCAGTGAGGAGATGGGAAATCAGTTTCAAATCCATCTCCTCAACCAATTAAAATTAGGAGTTTATATAGCAGGGAAGAAATGTAACTATGTGTGGGAAAACACAGATTAGAGAGGGGTAAGGAAGAGGACTTGGTCAACAGGAAACAAGTGGTCGGTTAGGCAATCATGACAGGTAAGGTGTCTGGTGTCTCATTGTCCAGATGTGGTGATCTGGTAAGTCTCATTTCTTTGATTGTTGGCCTCTGAGAAAGGAATTCAGATAAGACAAATGTAACTTTCTCATGTTTTAAGACTGGTAAGGTCAATTTCTATGTTTTTTCAAAATAAAGCATAAACATCAGTTCTACAGGACAATTGTGCCAGTTTCATAATTTATCCTTTTCTCATATTACTACCCTAAACTATTAATAGCAAACTAGCCTCCTTGTGTATATTTTTGTAGAATTTATGACATGGAGCTTTCATATTTTGACAATTTTGAATATTCTTTCCTGTTTTCTGAGACTGTGAAATCTTTACCACTTGCTCTGGTTTGAATTAATATCTTCCTTACCTGAGGTTATAACATTACCTATAAAATTTGTTTTGGTTTCTAAATATACAAGATCTCATATTATTTTAGTACTATTTCATTTGTGCATTTGCTATTTTGCTAAGAGTTTAATATCCTCATTTGAAAATACTGTCTCATATCTCTTCTGCATCTCTCAAAGCCATGACACAATTAGACCTTAGTATAGGTGTTCAATAATGACATACTGAAGTGAAAAGAAGAAGATGTAACATGATGATCAAACCCATAATTATAATCACTTCAAGCTTACATTGATGGACTCTTGCTTGATCACAGGTAGAATATCTTTTTGAGGACCTCAGAGCAAAGGGTAATAAACACCTACTTTTCTTTCATCTATAACCATATCAGGAAAATGAATTAAATTAACTCAACTTTTGATAATTCTTTTTAGAGTTAGAAAAAAGAGTTTACAGTTGCAAAATAAAAGCAAATTTCATTTTACCTTTAATATTTTAAGGATAACCCAGAGGTGATGTCTTACAGGTAATGCAGGAATGAGGAAACAATATTCTCAAATCTTTCTATTTCGTTTTACAAGGAAAATAGGCCCTATGTGAAAATAGTTGGCTAATTTTTTTAAGTCCTACAAGAACCAACATCTTGAGGGCCAAAACAAATGGACCTGAAACCTAGAGAGCCACCTCTGTTCTCCAGAAACTATCAGAGAACTTAATAATTAAGTTCACCAGGGTTTAGGGCTTTCTGGGCCCCAGTAATAATGATGTTATCAAGGTAGATTCAGTGTTTTATTTAACTGCATTCCATTCTTGATTTTCAGTCCTGAAACAAGAAGTTTTGAGTAAGCTATTTTAAAGTATTTTCTCCAGTTAACACATAATAAAAAGTGAAATAAGAAAACATACTATTATAGTACACAGACTAAGGACTGTTTCCATTACTCATATGAAATCTAGTGTACAGATTCCTCATTAGACAATTTCACACTGGCCAGACAGACCCTCTGTCTATTACTTTTTTGTCAAAGTAACTTTACAGATGAAAGGCCAGAACAAAGGGCATTTGGAACGAATTAAAAACTGTCGCAGCTTTTCTAAGCAACCTGGGAAGATGTATAGCAAATTTTATACCCCTTCATGTTATTTTTTTTCCCAGGATAACCATTGGCAAGTGGTCAGCCTGTCAGAACAGAGTCCAATTAAAATTATATATCATTGCAAGTTTTCTCTTCTCTGATGTCAATAATAGAGATCCTTCAGAGATAGCCCTCTCATATTCACTCCTGGGAATTTTAATTTCCTGACAAATCTATCATCTATAATTTACCATCAGGAATAGTCAGTCTCTGAGCATTGATAAAATAGCACAAATCCTGGTACTTCCCTTAGCACTGTGACAAAGAGACAATCTTTACAGATCTCACTGTGATGCTATATTCGTATAATCTTAATGTTTGTGTATCTGAATACTGTAGGATTAAAATTCATTCATAGGTTCAATAAACTTATAAAGGAATATATAAATATATGATATCTTAGAAAAATATTTCCAAGTTTTCAGGATCTCCATGGCCTCTCAAATTCTCATTATGTCATTATAAATCTTTTATACATACTTTGACTATATAAACAAAAGATTTTTTTATTCACTCACACAGAAAACTCATACTTACATTTTCCTTGAGAGTACACCAAGAATGAGTAGACATATTTTGAAGAGGAAAAATTTCTAACGGAAGTCAAAGCCACACATTGTAACCATTAGCAATTTGCTGATTTTGAAATGAGTATGTATTCATTTAAGTATAATATAGTATGTTTCCTTGGAATGTACAGAAAAACGTGGGATTCGAGGGAAGCAAGAGTTTTGTACATTTGAGTTATTAACAGCTTATTTGACTAATCAAAATGGAGGCTAGCAAATTAATCTAATTTATTTGCAGAGACTAAACTGCATTAATAATAGAAATACTGTCAAAACATTGTGGGCAGCTATTTAGTTTGTTTTTCAATAGTTATAAGCTTCTTTATAAGAGATTGCTAAGTGGGATTGCTTAAATGTAAGAACTGCTAAGACTTCAGCAACACAGAGCAATGTGCATACTGGGTGTTCTGAGCTGATTTTTTCCACTTTAAAATGCCTATGTTGATGCTCTAATACCCAGCACCTCAGAATGTGACTGTATTTGGAGATAGGGATTTTAAGGAGTTAAGTTAAAATGAAGCCATTAGGATAGGCCCTAATCCAAATTGATGAGTGTCTTTTTAAGAAGAGGAGATGAAGTCACAAGAAGAGACACCAGGGAAGCACACAAACAGAAGAAATACCATGTGAGGACACAGTTAAAAAAAAGGGCAGCCATCTGCAAGCCAAGGAGAGAGGCCACAGAAGAAACAAAACCTGCAGACACCTTGACTTTGGGCTTCCAGCCTCCAGAACTGTGAGGAAATAAATGTTTGTCATTTAAGCCATCCAGCCTGTGGTATTTTGTTATGGAAGCCGTACCAAATTAACATCCTAGAAAGCTGAAGACCCATTAGAAATCAGTGCAATGGGGCTGGGTGCCGTGGCTCACGCCTGTAATCCCAGCACTTTGAGAGGCCGAGGCGGATGGATTGCTTGAGGTCAGGAGTTTGAGACCAACCTGGCCAGCATGGCAAAGCCCCGTCTCTACTAAAAATACAAAAATTAGCCAGGCGTGGTGGCAGGCACCTGTAATCCCAGCTACTTGGGAGTCTGAGGCAGGAGAATCACTTGAATAAGGGAGGTGGAGATTGCAGTGAGCTGAGATCACATTACTGCACTCCATCCTGGCCTACAGAGTGAGACTCCATCAAAGAAAGAAGAAAGAAAGAAAGAAAGAAAGAAAGAAAGAAAGAAAGAAAGAAAGAAAGAAAGAAAGAAAGAAGGAAGGAAGGAAGGAAGGAAGGAAGGAAGGAAGGAAGGAAGGAAGGAAGGAAGGAAAGAAAGAAAGAAAAAAGGGAGGGGAGGGGAGGGGAGGGGAGGGAAGGGAAGGGAAGGGAAGGGAAGGGAAGGGAGGTAATG
Source organism: Homo sapiens (assembly GCF_000001405.40). Classification (NCBI taxonomy): domain Eukaryota; kingdom Metazoa; phylum Chordata; class Mammalia; order Primates; family Hominidae; genus Homo; species Homo sapiens. The sequence continues at coordinate 97,223,549 of NC_000004.12, forward strand.
GCATCCCAAATGGAACTGAGGAAGTAATATTTCTTGAAGAAGTTCCCCTCACACCATACAAATAACCGGGAAGAAAGAGCACAAGAGAACAAGTTTGTATTTAAAGCCCTGTGCCAAGGAGCATAAGCATAGGCAGTGTTACAGACCAGGCATTCCAGTCTGCATTCTGAGACATAGCAATAAAGGAAGGTTATGCAGTAAATCAGTTCTGAAATAAGGCGGAGTAGTATTGTGTCAGGCAATTTGTCCGTACAGAGAAGGACCTTCTGACATGAGCCTGAGGTAAGCCAAAAAAGAGTTAAGTGTAGGGTAGGAGAGTTGGCAGGAATTAGTCAAGCGGCAGGCCTCTTAGTACTGGTTGAGATTCAGAGCAGGGCCACCATCCTTGATTACCAGGTAGAGTAGAATGGGAAACAGGCGCACAGTCAGTGTCATGTGAGGATGGAAATGCTAAAACCAGAAGCAGAATGAACCTCGTCTGCCAACTATTTTTCATTCTCATGGCTAGTACACCAGATTTTTTATCTAGATTGCCACAGATGAGACATGGGGATATTGGAGAATTGGTGCAGGGGTGAGGTGGGTTCAAGTGGGTGTATACATTTATGAAATAATCCATTAATCACGGTTTAGTCCATAGATTCTAGGTCTGGGGGTACTTAATATAGTTAATCATTTATTCATTCAGACACTAATTAAAATGTGAAAATGTAGGAGAAATCACAATAGCTGAAGCTTTTTTTCTGCCACAATTGATTCATTAATTGATGCTAGAAATGGGATGGCAGAGAGGGAGGCTATGCCTCAAGGTAATACTCAAACATAGCTATGGGAGAAGAGGCAGAGAAGTAAAGGTGTGTGTGATATTCATTTAGATAATCAACAAATCAATAAAATGTATTGCCCTTTTATGACTTACCTAGATTTACAAAGGATTCATTAGAAAATTCAAGAAAGCATAAAACATAATCTCAAATTTTAAGGGATAATTCTCTTATTTAGAAGAAAAACACATTTACATGAAAACAGAAACTATTTTCAGGTAAAGTGGAAAGGAGGGTTACAAATAACCTTGTAGATAGATGATCCAAGCATGGAAATTTCAATGTGAATTGATACTTTGTGCCTTCTAAGTGGGATATAGCTTGGATTGGCACAAAAGAAAAAGAAAGCATTGAAACCAGCCATCCTGAGCAAAGGTTGTGACTTGAGAGATTACTGTGGCTTATTTTTAACACAGGAAACAAATTAATCCTATCTGAGAGAGATTAGTTGAGAAGGAGAGAGAACTTGAGAGTGTTGAATTCCCCAGAAAGGAGACTCTGAGACAGAGATGGAGATTAGCACACAGAAAGTGCATTGGCATTGAGGAGTGTTCTCAGGATCAACATCTGTGGCAGGAAAGAGAAAGAAGCAGGATGGAGCAAAGGGAGACATGTTGGGCTCCATGCCTGTCTCAACAAAAGGCCTCAACTAATCGTAGAGGAAACTGAAGCTAGATGACCCTTCAGAGTTACAGAAAGGGAACTGCGTCTTATAGTCTTACACTTACCTGTCCATTGAATGTAGACTTCCCCAGGAAGGGAGTGTGATCTTGGATAAGCCAGTTCTCTCTAGCTGAGCCCAGTTTCCAGGAGGCCTGACAGCTGGAGGTAATCAGCTGGCACCTGGAAGACTAAGTCTTTGAGTCCTAAGGAGATGTAGACAATGCAGCATCCACTACGATTCATTCCTTCTACCTCTCAGATCCAATTCTTGGTATCAGTTCTTGGAGCAGATTCTCCAGGATTCTGGTGTGCCCATTTTCCTTAGGAAATCTTAGAAGAGGAAGATTAATGAGAAAAACTATAGCCCCACTGCTACAGCTGATTGTGGGATCACAACTGATACTCATGGTCTTCCTCCTATCCTATATTTTAGATTTTTCTATCCTCAGCTAGCACTTCAGCTGGTCTAGGTGGCTTACCAGGTGATGTGACCATGATACTGATTCCTATGGGAAGCAAGCCTGCCTTCTTAGGCCGTTTTATGCATTAGCCCACTTACGTCAATGGCAAGCAAGGGACTAGCAATGGGTAACAAAGTGAATCACCTGGTGCCAAACACTTTCCTTCCTGTTTTTCTTGTATAATCAGGCTGGTTATCAGAGTAAATTGCCCTTGCCAGGGTGGTCCCTCAGCACAGGGAGCCCAATATCAGGCAACAATCATAACTTACAGTTCATTGAGATGTTTGGTGTGTGCTGAGATGGAGGCATTCTGTCTTTGCAAATTAGAACCTTTAACCTCATGAAGCCCAGAGTTGATGGAATGGGAAACGTTAATTTCCCAAAGGAGTTACTGGAAGTAATGGGAGTTACAGTCACTTTTACCTCTACTCTTTGGTTCTTGGATTCATATCATCTACCTATTGGAGATACAGCAACTTCTGTCTACACCGAATCCTGAAGGATAGCATCCTATGCTCTCAAAGTGTTGTGTATAAGCTGGCACTTTAGCTGTGCCTTCAACAGATTAGTCCATTACTATATCAGGCTGAAAGCTTCTAGATGGTGTGGTATGTGGCATGACCAGGCAATGGATTCCTGTTCTGAACACTGGGCAAGACATCATGAAATTTTACTGGGACAATTGCGCTCAACCTTCTGATCATTATCCTTGATTGCTTTCGGTTATTTATATTGAATATATATATTCAATATATATTCACCTGTCTTTCTCCTAAAGAAGCCATGCTCCATTAACCATCTCCATAACTCTCCATGTGTCAAGCCACCCTTTCCTTTCCCTGACCATTACCTTGCCACTAATTACAATAATTACATCCACTTGGATTCTGTTGGTTCTTCCTCCCCACCTGCCTTGTATTATTTGGGAATTCTATCATTCCCATTGCTCTCAGGGAACACCGTTCTATAATGGCATATCCTACCATTAGCTTGGCCTGACAGAGACAGGCATGACTGAGCTTCTTTGTGATATGGTTCTCTTATTGCCAATACATTCTTTATTGCTTCAGTAAGTAATGAATACTGGATGCTCCTAAGGAGCAGAATCTGTGGTGGTCTTTCAGACCTTACATGGTATAATTATTCTGACATGCCCTCTTGGTTGAGGCTTTAAGTCCCTCCTTTTCTGCCTGCTACGAGTATTTGGGTATTTCTATCTCATTTTGTGCTGTCCCTTGATTTTTTTTTTCACTTTCTAAGGCACATTCTAGAAGTGTGTTCCTGAGATCTGTGTTAGGATGTTAAGTCCTGTGTCCCATGGCAGTGAGCTCATTTTAATAACTTGTCCAACTTTATGTTCTTCTCTTCCATTGGGATAGCATCCTCAAAACCTAATTCTGTCAGTATCCTCCCAGTTCCTACTGGCATATGTTGCATAGCTTCCACACTTCTTGGAAGTGTAGTTATTTTTCTCCACTAAAAGGCACAGCACTTCCCTAGCCAGATTATATTAGGACTTAGCCCTAATTATCGCCTTAGTGTCCAGGAATGGGGGTAGGGAAGATTCAGAGGTGGGGGTGAGGGTGTGTATGTCATGTTTTCTTGCAGGTAGAAGCTACTGCATCTTCCTCAAACCAAGGGAAACACTAACCCTTAAGAAGAAGGAGTGAGCCACTTTGCCAGGCTCAGAGGCATTAGGCACATTTGATAATTCATTATTTGCGTGCCTCAACATGGATGTACCATTGCATGACTCTGGGCCCTGATCTTTGTACAGTATCCTTGACTAGGCATTTTGTGGAGCTCTGCTATAGTTATGATTAAGGCCTAGACTTGGTCTGCAGATTTCTGTTCTCAAGGTTGAAGAAGTGAGATCCTCTTTATATTCTAGCAGGAGGGCCCTTAGCTTTCACACTTAGTTTTAATTCCCAGTTAATCCTCCCAGTCTTTTGTTATCTTTTTCCAAGGCATCAACTGTACCTAGCAATAGACATATAATTCCATTATTTTTATAATTAATATTTCTTCACTGTTCTTAATTACCTGAAACACTGGCCCCATTAATACAATCCCTTCCACAGTCATATCATTCTAGATCACTGCTAGTGATCATTTTAAGGATTGCATTTGCCACCTTCTGCCAGCAGCTATGTGTGCTCCACTGATCATCAGTGATGGAAGTCCTTCATGCTAGAGAGCCAGAGATTGATCAGCTCCAGAATCTCATCTCAGCATGTTTTCTAACTACATTCTTACAACTACTCATAGAATCAAATGCTGCAAGTTAGATTCTTCTGGAAGAAGATTCCGAGATGGAGAGCAACATGCAACATATGTACTGGGGAGTGGTCTTGGAATCAACACCAGGTGCAAGAAAAGGAGGGAGGGAGAATTGAGCAAGGGAGATGTTATGTTGTTATGCAGTCTACACAGATTTAGCTAATCTCTTGGGGAGCTCTGAAACTGGAATAATCCTTTATATTTGACCAGCTTGTGGGAAGGAGGCCAGACCTTTCTACCCATTTATCAATCAGACATTGAGTGTAGTCTGCCCATGAGAAAGGAACATGGTCTGGGTTGAGACAGTTCTCTTTACCTGAGGGCAATTTCTGGAGAGGTCTTATGGATAAGTGCTGTCTAAGTCAGCACTACCCCCAGTAGCTGGGAAAATATATCTTTCAGTCCTAAAGAGGTATCTGGAAAATGCATCACGGCAGTCACTAGTGGGGAGATGTTTTTTAAAAAGGAAGGTTTTATATGCTCATTTTGGATAAAAGTCTCTTCCTCTCCCTACCACTATTCACTTTGTATAATCACAAAATTTATTCAATGTAACAATCTGAGCTATCATATAAAAAACATAGAATTTATTGAAATTGTGAGAACACAATTCCATCAATACTGATTCCTTAGCAATGTATTACAGGTTATATAAGATTGAGATTTTCATATGACAAAACAATTTTAAATGTATCAGAAACTTGTAAGTTTAAAATTTTTAAATGTATGTTAACTTATAGATTGACATGACAATAAGCAGAAATCGCAAAGAGGTAGAAATGTCTAAAATAAAAGGTGATTGGAACGCAAAGATATAGAATTTTTTAGAAGATTATACAGGAAGATAACAAAGAAAATATACAGGAGAACAGTTTATAGCTAAGTTGTCCACCACACAGAAGTTTTGGAGAGAATCAAGCTTAAAGCTATTGAAAATATAGGTTTTTATTTTGTAGTAGATACCACTTTTATCTTATCACAAGAGTCATATGGGATGCTCGTTATAAGCTGATACCTTGTTCTACTCTAAACCTATCTAGTCAGACTCTCTGAAATCAGGTTCAGATTCCCCACAAAAACCTTCTGAGGAAATTATCTGAGTGCAAGTAGTATATTTGCAAGGTGATCCTAGGAAGGTCTGGAATGGTCAGGGAGTGACACATTTGCAAGGTGAGCCTAGGAATGGTCAGGGAGCAGAGAAATGAAACAGGGAAGGAGAGGCAATAAGGCAATAAGTTGTGTATTACTGAGCAGGTTACCCCTGTGGATAGCTGAGCCTGAATACTGTTGGGTAATTCTGGAACCGTGTAAAATATATCTCATATTTATCCCACCCAATGGATGAGGAGACTCCAACACTGATTAGTCACTGGTTGAGGGCTGTTCTCAAGAGCAGTAATGCCCCCAGCACTTCCGGTCTGACATGCATGGCCAAAATAGAACCCCCAGGTGGAGAGTTGCACTTGTTTATAGTGGGAAGCAGTAGACACAGGCTAGAAAGTGAGTGCAGAGTGGTACAGATTGTGGACTGACAGTGTCTTCTAGAAAGCATTTCCAGAAAAGGAACCTGAAATTAGTATTTTTAATATGTTCTTTAAGTAATTTCTATGATTAGATAAGTTCAGACAACACTGCTCTAATACATACCAATGGAAAGCTACACAAATGTTAGAAAATGGCCAAGATAATATTATTACCTTCATTGGGAAGGTAATATTATTGAAGGTTGGAAGGGCCAAGTGATATAAGAAGAATGACCACACAAAAACAATAAAAGGAATTCAGTAACTGTTCAATTAGATAGCACTTCAATGATGCATTTCAATAATCTACCTACTTAAGGATGCTGTCATTGTTATTTACTTATTTCATGAGTTTAAAGGGATGTATTAAAATGTTAAGTCTATTATCTATTAAGTTTTTAAGTTCCTGGCAATTTTTTCAATATGCTTTGAGTGGAAAAATACTTTGAGCTAAAAATAATTAAATTGAATATTGTCTGAAGGAATGAAGCACATCTTCCAGATGTGGTCTGTATTCTCCTTTGATATTTATAATGAATTTAGTAGCCACATTTGGGGAATCATAGAGATAACTCTTTAAGCCTCAATAAGTGGGCTCATCAACAATGGGAACATATTGGCTATCTCAGATATTTCATAATTGTGTTCAATTGATGATCTAAATTATTACAGTGCTACTTTTAATGATGCATGTTAAAGCCAAGTTGAAACAAAAATAAATTTAGGGAGGGATCAAATTATGGATTGCATATCAGGTTGAAAAACATTAAAAAGTCATTAGTATTCATTTTTCTAGCTGTGTTTTCTTAGGATATTTCTTAGGATATCCAGTTTTCATTTTGAGACTGAGAATGGTAGCTGCAAGAGCTGAGCAGGGAAGAAATCATGCAGGGCCTTATAAGTTAAAGTGAAATATTTGATTTTACTCTAAATGCATTTTATTCTAAGCTATTAAGTGATTTTTGCAAAAGTAGTTTACATCTTTAAAAAATTAGTCTACTATATTAGAGGTGTAAGGGAAAAAATTTTTTTCCTCTATTCATCTGAGTTTTCAGCTGGAGTTCCCTGTAACGAAAGACAAGTTAACAAGAGGAAAACAAACATGTTTATTGACATGTGTGTTGCACATGTAACATAAGGGAGTACCCAGAAATGAGTAACTCAAAAAGATGACTTAGAACTCCAGCTTACATAGCATCTTTAAAAAGAACAATAACTTTGTAGAAAAATGGCAGGACAGAGAAAGCAGTTTTAGGTCTCCAAGGGTAGCAAACTATGGGAAGGTAAATATACGAGAGAAAACTAATAAAGGTTTGTTTGCAGATTCTTCTGGTGCCATCTCTGGATTGATAAAAGCCTAGAGTCATTTCCAGTAAAGAAGAATTTATATCCTGCCTACAGGCAGAAAAGAGGAAGAGTAGACAGCACTTTTCCTGGGGTTTCTGTTTCTTAAGTGCTTTTAGCTCAAAATAATTTTTATGCCAAAAATGCATATTTTCAGATGGCATATTCTGGTCTCCTATTGTGATATTTTGATGTGGCACATTTTGATCTCCAACAGAGGCAAGCAAAGGCAAACACTTAGGAGAATATTTCAGTAATCCAGATAATAACAAGAAGGAACTTCATTAGGGAGTATGATTTGATGAAGCAGAATGGATATATTTGAGATAAATCCTTCAGATAGATTAATAAATTTAACTGGTGAATTGGAGATTGGTTATTTAGTGAGTATTAACAATTAGTGAGTACTTGGTTATTTCACGAGTATTAACAATTTCTTCTGTAACCATTACTCAAGAATAAAGGCAAAATAAAGATATTTTCCAATTAACAAACAATATGAATTTACTACAAACAAAATTGCTAAAGCATGTTCTAAAAGCCCCATCTCAGGAAAATAGAAATTTAATCTCAAAAGCTAGACTGCACTGTGACATGAGAAGGAATGATAAAAAAAAAAACTTTGGCTAGCCTGTGTTAGATACTTGCTGCATAAAACAATGACAAAATATGACTAGTCTATAAAATTAGAATAACAAAATGGAATTAAAATACAGAACAATGGTGAAAGGTATAAGGGGATGAGCAAGGTTAAAGTTTTCTATTTCTTGTATTGCTCAATAAGAAAGTTGAAACATGGATTCACTTCAGACTTTGTTATATATGCAACCTAAAAATGTGAGTATACACTAAAAAATAGACTTTCCAAAGTGAAAAAAAAAATAAATGGATAATGAATAATAGCAAGGGAAAAGGAAGCTGGGAAGAATGGAGATATATGGATAAAAATAAAGTAGAAAATAAAATGGTATAACAAAAACAAATATGTTGATAATCACAGTAAGTATAAATGAATTAAATTTACTAGTTGGAAATAAATAATTCACATTTTTAAACAATCCAGCTATAGTTTTTTTTTTTTTACAAGAAACATGCCTAAATAATAAAGCCAAAGAAAGTTTGAAAACTAAACCCAGAATGGGTAAAATATACTAGGCATATATTACCCAGAATGCAACAGATTTGGCTACATAAAAATGAAATAAATGATGCTCTAAGATAAAAAAAAAAACTCTCAGGAATAATAAATATTGATTGATTCAGCAGAAATATATAATTCTAAACATTCATGTACCTAATTACGTAACTCTAAAATGTGGAAAACAAAAGTTAACAGAATTATGAGAAATCACCATATCAGTTAATATTGTAATATATGAAAAATAGTGAAGAGTGTGTGGTTTTGGTTAATTGATATTAACAACAAACTACCTCAAATCTTAGTGGCTTAAAACAACATTTATTTTGTTCTGGAATATGTAATTTGAATAGGGCTCATCAAGGATAGCTTGTCTCTTCTCTGTTCATTACCATGTAAAGTAGCTCAAAGGCTGAAAGCTCTAATCATCTGAAGGTTTTTGATAACTCACATGTCTGGAAGCTATTGTTATTATATCAATTGAGTCCTTAGCTGGAGATATTGGTCAGAATACCTACATGTACCCTGAAATTCTTCATGACACGGTGGCTAGGTAACAATGGTGAGTATTCAAAGGAAGACAGAGAAAGAAAGAGAGAGAGAGAAGTTACATTATCTTCAAAGACCTGCCCGATTTTTAGTGGAGAATAAACACACTCTACCTCTTGATTGAGGAAGTGGCAAGGTTCTGGAAGAGCATATGAGACTGGAAATATGGTCATGTCCTCTTTTCGAAAAAATGCAATATGCTATATCTTTATACCAGATATACATGGCAAAAAAGACATATAATCAGTTTAACAAACAATTACTTAAACTTAACTACTTTAACTACTTACCTTACTTTAACTTAGGTACCTTGGATAACCAGAAGCCATATGATACAAAGTGATCTATATATTCAATGCAATCTCTATCAAAATTTCAATGTCATTTTTCACAAAATAGAAGAAAAAAAGACTTAAAACTCCTATGGCACTACAAAAAAACCCAAGTAGCCAAGGCAATCTTGAGCAAAATGAAAAAAGCTGAAAGTATCACACTGCCTGATGTCAAACTATACTAGAAAGCTATAGAATTAAAACAGCATGATACTGGCACAAAAGTAGACAAATCAACCAGTAGAACAGAATATAGAGAGCCCATTAATGAATACACGTTAACAGTCAATTGATTTTCAACAAAAGTATCAAGAACACACAACAAAAAAAAAGACAGTCTCTTCAATAAAGTGTGTTGAGAATAACTAGATGTCCACATGCAGAAGAATAAAACTGGACCCTTTTTCTCATACCATACAAAAAATCTACTCAAAATGGATTAAAGACTTATATGCAAGACCTGAACTGTCTACCAGAAGAAAACACAGAGAGGAAACTACACAACATTACTTTGGGCAATGATTTTGTGACTCCAAAACTCAGGTAACAAAAGTAAAAGTAGACAAATGAGATTACATCAAACTAAAAAGCTTCCACACAACCAAGGAAACAATTAGCAGAGTAAAGATATAACCCTCAGAGTGGGAGAAAATTTTTGCAAACCATACATCTGATAAGGGGTTAATATCCAAAATACGTAAGGAACTCTAACAACTCAATAGATATAAAACAACCTAATTAAAAAATGGGCAAAGGACCTGGATATACATCTCTCAAAAGAAGACATAAAAATGACAGGTCTATGAAAAAATGTTCAACATCACTAATTATCTGGGAAATGCAAATTAAAATCACAATGAGCTATCACTTCACACCTGTCAGAATGGATATTATCAAAAAGACAAGAGATAGCAAGTGTTGGCAAGATAAAAGGGAATCCTTGTACCCTGTTGGTGAGAATGTAAGTTGGTGCAGACACTATGGAAAACTGTATGAAGTTTCCTCAAAAAATGAAAAATAGAACTACCATATGATTCAGCAATCCCGCAACTGGGCATAAATCTAAAGGAACTAACATCAGTAGGTTGAAGAGATATTTGTACTCCCATGTCCTTTGCAGCATTATTCATACTAGCCAAGGTATGGAATTAATCTAAGTGTCCATCCATGGACGAATGGATAAGGAAAATATGGTATATATACTCAATGGAGTACTATTCAACCTTAAAAATAAGAAATCCTGTCATTTGTGACAACATGGGTTAACTTGGAGGACATTATGCTACATGAAATAAGTCAAGCATGGAAAGACAAATAGCACATGATCTCACTTATACATGGAATCTAAAATAATCCAACCCAGAAGCAGGGAGTAGAAAAATGGTTCTGGAAGCTGGGGGTCGAGGGTATGGAGAGATGTCACTCAAAGGGTATAAAGTTTCAGTTACATAGGAGGAATACATTTTTTGATATCTATCGAACAGCATGGTGATTATGGTAATTAAAATTGTATATATTGAAATTACTAAGAAAGTAAATTTCACATGTTCTTATCACAAAACTGATAAGTATTTGCGGTAACAGATATATTAATTAGCTTGATTTAATCATCCCACGTTGTATTACCTATATATCATAATCTTATGTATTATAACATCACTTTGTATCTCATAAACAGTTATGATTTGTCAATTTACTCTAAAATAAAAGCAAAGAAAGAGCCAAGAGGATGAATTTTGTGAAAAATGACACTGAAATTTTGATAGAGATTGCATTGAGTATATAGATCACTTTGTATAGTATGGTTTCTGGTTATCCAAGGTACCTAAGTTAAAGTAAGATAAGAAGTTAAGTAATTGTTTGTTAAATTGATTATATGTCTTTTTTGTCATGTATATCTGGTATAAAGCTATAGCATATTGCATTTTTTCAAAAAGAGAATATGGCCGTATTTCCAGCATATGAAAGTGACAGTTAAAGATGGGTCAAAAATTATTAAATTATATAACTTAAAAAGGTAGAAAAATTTTAAAATAAATTAGTGTGAAGTCTTGAGGGGTTTTGGCTCTTCCCCCACACATTTTGGATTAGTGGTTCTCAAACCTGTGTGTGTGGCAAAATCACCTGGAGCTCTAACAGAGAGTTCAGAGTTGCAGGCTCCTGTGTGTCAGATAGAACTCGAGTCTGTAGTTTCACCAAGTACCCATGTGATTTTAATATATGTCTGAGTTTAAGAACCACTGGGGCCGGGCGCGGTGGCTCACGCCTGTAATCCCAGCACTTTGGGAGGCCGAGGCGGGCGGATCACGAGGTCAGGAGATCGAGACCATCCCGGCTAAAACGGTGAAACCCTGTCTCTACTAAAAATACAAAAAATTAGCCGGGCGTAGTGGCGGGCGCCTGTAGTCCCAGCTACTTGGGAGGCTGAGGCAGGAGAATGGCGTGAACCCGGGAGGCGGAGCTTGCAGTGAGCCGAGATCCCGCCACTGCACTCCAGCCTGGGCGACAGAGCGAGACTCCGTCTCAAAAAAAAAAAAAAAAAGAACCACTGGTTTAGATAAAGAATACCTCTTAGGGATATTGACTAATAGCTAAAGTTGTTTTTCAACAGAAGCCACACACACAAAAAAGGAATTTATTTATTTTCATTCCATGACTAGGGATTCTTTATGTTGGCATTTACTGGGTAGAAAATGAATTTTACTATGAAATGAATCATATTTTTTATTCCATCTTGTCTGCTTAGACTTAACCCCTAGACTGAATAAATTCTCCAGTTTCCCTTATAGTATTTGAGAACAGCATTTTCTTCGTGCCTGTTGCCCATAACCAAGCAAGTGAGTGTAATTCTCTTACTGTTCCAACACATGCAGAAAGGAATACTTGCTGCCACAGTGGAGCACCAAGCAAGTATTTTCTGCTTTGCTACACTCACCCTCTTGCTCTTTGGGGCTTTAAGTTTCTCATTGTGCCCTCGTTCTTCCTCAGAGGAAATTGTACCACCCACAGGGATCACGCTGTGTTTTCAAATCCCAGTAGTAATGCAACAATGGTCATTCCTGGAACAGTTCAAACACACAGAGAGAAAAACAGTTCCTGTATCTGGGTCAGCCCAGCTGCTGCTGGCTTAGGAACAAGCCTGGAAAGCCCCAGACGTGGGAACCTGTGTTTTGTACCCAGTTCATTTTTGCACAGCAGGCTACCTCTGTGTGGCTGAGATAGTGCTTGATGAGATGCAGTGGAGTGATGGGGAATTCAGGGGAGAGAAGTGAAATTGGGGAAAAAATATTGGACAATAATGTAAATGAAGTAAAGGTAATGGCCAGCAGTACCAGGCTCCATTGCTTTCAGTAACACAAATGCTTTCAAGAAGATGAATTTCTAGGACAAGAGAAAGACAGCACAGATACAATCTAATTAACAGAACTGTTATGGGCAACTGATTCTATTATTTTCAATAGGCTGAATCGGAGAATCTGTTCAAACATAGTCATACCTTATAATAACATTCAGAAGGGTGGGATGTACAGAGGCAAAACCAAATTGAACGTTTTCATACTCCTTCACATAAATATCCAAAGATGCAAAGTTTCAGAACGACCTAAAGTATAACACTAATAAAAGGAATCCATGTCATACTAAAGCATTAGTTAATATAATTGAAACTTAAAGAAAAAATCAAAATCCTCTCACTCTGATATTATCTTTCATTAAAGCCAAGCCTTTCCAAAAAAGTCATGCATTACCCGCATCTATGGAATTATCTGAGGAAAGCAGATAATTTTAAGAAGCTATTATAATGTACTTCCACAAACTACTATATCACTTACTATTTTACTATATCTGAATATACTGGTAGGTATTTGTAACATTTTATTTAACATTTTGGCTAAAAGATATCAAAATATTTTTGCTTTGATTTTAAAACAAATTTCCTAAGGTATTTTTTTTCTTAGTTTTAAACCAGAAAGACAAATATATATTAGGAGGTTTTTTGGTAAAGATATTTCTAAAGTTATAAACACGTATTTTTAAAATTATTTTCAGCCGGGCATAGTGGCTCATACCTATAATCCTAGCACTTTAGGAAGCTGAGATGGGTGGATCACTTGAGGACAGGAGTTCAAGACTAGCCTGGCCAACATGGTGAAATCCTGTCTCTACTTAAAATACAAAAATTAGCTGGGCGTGGTGGCACGCACCTGTAGTCCCAGCTACTTGGGAGGCTGAGGCAGGAGAATTGCTTGAACCCAGGAGGTGGAGGTGGCAGTGAGCCGAGATCACACCACTGCACTCTAGCTTGGGCAACAGAGTAAGACTCTGTCTCAAAAAATTAAAAAAAGATAAAATAAAATTATTTTCATATTTATTATTTTAGAAATAAACAACAAACTAAAAACCCAGCGTTATTAGTTGATTTGTATCCCCACTGATGGTCCAAATAACCATGAGAAAAATGGTTGAACAATATCTACATTTTAGTTTCCTTACTGTTAAGTGAGGAGAATAACAGCTCTACACTAGTTTCATGAAATTCATTGAAATTCTTAGAGGAAATGTGCCTCATAAATGTAAGGTTACTAACATTAAAATAATAATAATATAGTTAGATATCATAGAGATTTAGACATATGCTATACTTGGAAATCCTTGAAAATAAAACTGGCCTCTCCTGTTTCCAGGGATATTGATGAATCAATACTCTAGTGAGATGGATTTTGGTAGTATTTTAAATAAGAAAGAATTTTTAACTGTAAAGAGCTTAAAGAGAATATAAGTTTTAGTACTATTATTAAAAATATACATCTGTCTCACAACTGTAGATTGGAGAATCAGTCAGTCTCTGGCTCTGGAGAGAAACAAACAATCTAAGAGCATATTTTTATAAGATCACATAAGGCGGCCAGGGACTGTGGCTCATGCCTGTAATCCCAGCACTTTGGGAGGCCGAGGCGGGCAGATCACGAGGTCAAGAAATTAAGACCATCCTGGCCATCTGTACCAAAAATACAAAAATTAGCCGGATGTGTTGGCATGCACCTGCAGTCCCAGCTACTCAGGAGGCTGAGACAGGAGAATCGCTTGAACCCGGGAGGTAGAGGTTGCAGTGAGCCGAGATCGCGCCACTGTACTCTAGCCTGGGTGACGGAGTGAGACTCCATCTCAAAATAAATAAATAAATAAATAAAATCAGGTCGGATAAAACTTACCCCGTTTTCTAAATGCCATGTCCAACTAGGCATAACTTTAAAATAAAATAAAAAGTACTCAAGCTACTGGCTCAATCGATAATTCTTTATTTACCAAATGTTTATTAAACTGCCATTCTGAGTACTTCTCTCTAAAGTAGGGGTTTATGAACTTTTTGGAATCACAGATTCCTTTAAGAATCAAATAAAAACCAAGAATCTCACTACCCCTCATTTCTAGGCATGTCTACAAAATTGTACTTAGAATCTGAAGAAGTCCTCAAACCATTTGAAATCTAGGTAAGAATGCATCATATCCGAAAGGAGTAAGGATAATCCATCCAACAATCACTATTGAGCACTTGCTTTATATTAAGAAATGCTGTAGATCCTGAAGACGTACAGTGAAAGAGGCACTGTCCCAGTGCTGGTGGCAGTACACATAAGTTGGGTAAAATGTGTATCTTACTTCATCACAGAAATGACTGCATTTGACCTCACAAAAATGAACGGGAAGTAATTATAATGATTACAGTTGAATGTTGAATACAGTAGAGAATTAAAAATATTCATCTAAATGAAACAATGAGCTTTTTCTCGTCCCCTCTTTTTTGCTTCCTGCTTTTTACTATCATAAAATGTAAGTAAACATGAAATCTAAATTTTGCTTTTAAAAAGTACATTATGCATTATAGTTGAGTTAATAAGCATTTTTCAGTGACTGTAATATGAAAAGCACTATGCTAGATACTGTAAAAGGACAAATCTAAATATTTCAAAGCCATCTTTTATTTCCATTTGTTTCCATGCTTTCATAATCATATGTTCTCTCTCACTGAACACTTGCCTTTAAAAATAGTATTTTAACACTTGACTATCTCTTCAGCAAAAGTCATCTTATTGAAATAATAAAACCAACCATATCCTGCTGAGCATGATATTCTGTAAGGAAATAGAGAAAAGGAATAAAGACTTGGTTAACACTGGTGAAGGTAAAGAAAAATATACAATATGTCAAGAGATAAAGGATAAATACTAATGTTCTATGCTGTAAGGTTTTGGACAAAGAATGCAATAGTACTATTCAGATAAGGAACTTCTAACAGGAAGACATCCTTCTGTCTGCATTTTATTGTTTCTCATTTGGAAACCAATTCATTGGGTCACTGGAAGGTGGAGGAGTAGACTGAGGTAGACAATATAAACAGAGGCAAAATAATGGAGACAGATACCCTTAGAAGCCCTCTGAGAGTTGTTTATGAGTAGGTGTGCCTCTGTATAGAGATAGACACCCAATAAGATCCTTGCATTTCTGAAACTATTCTTCACCTGGAAAGGAAACCAAGAAGCACAAATAATACTAATAATAAAAAAAGCAAAGGACAGCAGAATAACAAATAACCACATATAGTCATTTCGGACCTATTCTGAAACAACAGAATGCACTTTAAAAAGCAGTAAAAACAATAAAAATTCAGTCATCATGAAAAAGGAGAGCCTTAGCTGCAATAAAGGCAGTCAATAAAGAAGCGCTCTCATTTAAACATCAAATGCACATTGTTTTGCAACACCTGTTATTCAGCCATAATAGCTTTCTTAACCTGTCAAAGTGTTTAAGCTGAGGAAAAGAAATGGGCCTCCAGCTGTGCAGTTCTGTGAAGAAAGCCTGTGCAAAGCGATATTAGTTTAATGAAATGTGTACAGATTGTAATTGTGGTAATAAGAGGGCAATTCCCTGAGGTGCCATAGGAAGACGGTGAGTGCAGCCAGGCAGAGAACAGAAGCTTGCAGGCTGAGGAGAGAAAATATGGCCTGTTCAGTAGAGAGGGCAGGAAGTGAGCTGGAAACATCAGGGAAAAAGAAATTCTGTGAATAGGTTTTCCTTAGACTCACTCAAAGAAAGAAACCAGGTCTACAAGGAGTTAAAACCCTCTCCTTGCAGCACAACTGACCCAGAGCTAATCTGAATCAGTGTTAACTCTGGTGCCTCAGGTTCTGAGAAACTCAAGGGAAACAGCTCTTCAGTCCTTGACAAGATGACAATGACCCTTCTGAAACTCATATTCAGGGTGAGAGACAATGAATAATAAAAAATAAGTGAGGGTTAAAGGGAGCAATACAAAAGAAGAAATAAAAATAAATTGCAAATCAAATATGCATTGGCTTACTTTTGTGTTTATCTAGGCATCATCCCAGAAAAGAACATTCTTTAAGGGTATTCCTGAGAGAAGGAGCCACTTCTATCAATTACTCAATAGAAAATCAATGTGCCATTATTTTAAACTTCCCCAATAATTTAAAAGTCCTAAGAGCAGAAGCCCACAAGCAGAAACTTCCAGAGGAATCAGTTGCCAATGTAGAAAAATCTAAATTATAGTGGACAAATTGCTGAAGGTCCAGTATGGACAATTCTGAGAGTTCAAAACTCTAGGAGACCGTATGAGGTTGGGTAGGTTAGGTGTATTAAATGCACTGGTGAACCTCCATGCTTTTGTGAGTTTTATCTCTTGGAGCTCTAAAAGGTTCTCACAGTAAATATTGGAGAAAACCTCATTTTTCCAGCAGAGGAGAAAGAATCAACAAAATCCCCTGAAACTAGTAAGTGACTATAGCAAGGTTGCAGGATAAAGCGTTAATATACAAAAGACAATTGTTTTCCTATATACCAAAAAATAACATGTGGAATTTGAAATTAAAAACACATTACCATTTACATTAACACCTGACAAAATAAAATATTTTTGTATAAATCTAAGAAAATATGTTCAAGACCCACATGAGGAAAACTGCAAAAATCTGATGAAAGAGATAGCAGAAGAACTACATAAATGGAGAGATATTTCACATTCACGTAAATGTTGTAAAAATGTCAGTTCTTCCCAACTTGATCTATAGATTCAATGCAATCCTAGACAAAATCCTAGCAAGTTCATATATGGATATTGAAATGCTGATTCTAAAATTTATACAGTGAGGCCAAAAACAAGACTATTCAACATAACATGGGAGGAGAAGAACAAAGTTAGAGGACAGACACTACCTGACTTTCTCCCTGTAAAGCTATGGTAATCAAGTAATCAGAGTCTTATTGGTGAAAGAATAAACAAATAAATCACTGAAACATAAAAGGAGCCCAGAAATAGATCTGCAAAAACATAGCCAACTTACCTTTGACGAAGAAGCAAAGGCAGTGCAATGAAGCAAAATCATCTTTTCAATACTGATGTTGCAGTAACTGGACCTCAACCTGCAAAACAATGAATCTGAACAAAAACCTTACAACCATCACAAAAATTAACTCAAAATGGAGCACAGACTTAAATGTAAAACACAAAACTATAAAGTTCCTAGAAGATAATATAGGAGAACATTTAGACGACCATGGATTTGGTGGTGAATTTTTATGTATGACACTAAAGGCATGATTCATGACAGAAAGTATGGATATCGGGACTTCATTAAAGTTAAAAACTCTGCTCTGCAAAAAACAT
The DNA here is from genome assembly GCF_000001405.40 of Homo sapiens. Classification (NCBI taxonomy): domain Eukaryota; kingdom Metazoa; phylum Chordata; class Mammalia; order Primates; family Hominidae; genus Homo; species Homo sapiens. The sequence continues at coordinate 97,241,343 of NC_000004.12, forward strand.
TGTCAAGAGAATAAAAAGAAACGCCACTGACTGGGAGAAGATATTTTCAAACAAAATATATCTCACAAAGGACGGTTATCCAAAAAATACAGAGACCTCTTAAAACCCAACAATGAGAAAACAAACAATCAACTAAAAAGTGGGTCAAACACCTTGACACACACTTCACTAAAGAAGAGAAACAAATCGCAAATAAGCATATGAAAAAATGTTCCACATCACATATCATCTGGGAAATGCAAATTAAAACAATGAAACATGACTACACACCTATTAGAATGGCCAAAATTCAGAAGACTGGCAGCATCAAATGTTGTCAATGATGTGAAGCAACATTATTAGAAATATCTCTGGGAATATAAAATAGTACAGCCACCTAGGAAAACAGTTTTGTTGTTTCTTACTAAATAAACATACTTTTACCACAAGATACAGCAACCATGCTCCTTGGCATCCATGCAAAGGAGTTCAAAACTTATTTCCACACAAAAACAGCAAGCCCCTAAAAAAATAAAATACCTTAGTATAAGTCTAAGAAAACATGTATAAGACCTATATGAGGAAGACTATAAAAGTCTGATGAAAGAAATTGCAGAACTACATAAAGGGAGAAATATTTCTTGTTTATGGACAGGAAGACTCAACATTATCCATCCTGCACATGGATGCTTATAGTAGTCTCATTCATAGTTGTCAAAACATGGAAGCAACCAAGATGTTTTTCGGTAGGTGAATGGATAAACTGTGATATATCCGGACAATGGACTCTTATTCAGCACTAAAAGTGAGCTATCAAGCCATGAAAAGACATGGAGGAAACTTAGTGCATCTTACTAAGTGAAAGAAGCCAATCAGAAAATCTACATATTATCTAATTCCAACTATATGACATTTCTGAAGAGGAAAATGTGGAGACAGTAAAACGATCAGTGGTTTCCAGGGTTTAGGGGAGAGGAAGGGATAAATAGGCAGAGCATAGAGAAATTTTACAGCATGAGTCTATAATGGTGGATATACCTTTGTCCAAATCCATAGAATGCACAACAGCAAAAGTGAATCCTAATGTAAACTATCGACTTTGGGTGATGATATGCCAAGGTAGGCTCATCAATTGTAACAAATGTACCACTCTGGTTGAAGATGTTGATAGTGGGGGAGGCTATACAGATGCACAATCATTGGTTATATGGACAATCTCTATTCCTTCCTCTCAATTTTGCTGTGAACCTAAATTGCTAAAAATAAATAAATAAATAAATAAAGTTCAGATGATTTCTGACCTAAGATGGTTAAACAGGATTTTTCAACTTTATGATGTGGTAAAAGTGATATGCATTTGGTAGACATCATTGGACTTTGAGTACCCATACAACCACTCTGTTTTTCATTCACTATCAGTACAATATTCAATACATCACATGAGATATTCAACAATTCATTATAAAATAGACTGTGTTAGATGATTTTGCCTGTCAGTTAATGTAAACGTTCTGAGCATGTTTAAGGTAGGCGAGTCTAAGCTATGAGGCTTGGTAGGTTAGGTATATTAAACGCATTTTCAATTTATTTCAACTTATGATGGATGTATCAGGATGTAACCCTTTGTAAGTTGAGGATCATTTGTCATTTATATAAAACTTTTTCAAATATATATATATATATCTTTTAAATCAATAATATATGTGCAGGGATCATTTTACAAAGTAAATTAGCTTAACCCTTAAATAAAATTGATCTTATAGAGTTTGAGCTCTAGAAATCATCTGTCGTTATTTTTTCTTCTTCATACCTCAAACATAGTATAAGGTGGCTTACACTTTAAATTTGAAACTTCCATGCATGTCCTGGCTCTACAATTTTCTGTCAGTTAGCCTGTCTGAAACCTCGATTTCCTCACCTGAAAAATCAGAATAATAACCTGTATTCTAACTTTTCTTTTTTTATTTTTTATTTATGTATTTATTTATTTTTGAGGCAGAGTCTTGCTCTGTCGCCCAGGCTACAGTACAGGGGAGCCATCTTGGCTCACTGTAACGTCTGCGATTCTCCTGGCTTAGCCTCCCGAGTAGCTGGGATTACAGGCAACTTCCACCCTGTCCAGCTAATATTTTTATGTATTTTTAGTAGAGACGGCCGTTTCACTATATTAGCCAGGCTGGTCTCAAACTCCCGACCCTAGGTGATCTGACCACCTCAGCCTCCCAAAGTGCTGAGATTATAGGCGTAAACCACCACGCCGACCCTGTATTCTAACTTCTGTTAGGCTCATTCACAAATGTTTTAAGTAGCTCTGGTAAGTCTGCATCTACAGTTGCTTAGGGACAGATACCCTGAGGTTTTGAGCTATGAAAAGACATAAAGCACAGGGCAAAATGAGCCTGGACTCTTGGATGGTTTGAAATTTGATAATAGAATAAATTTTAAAATCTTCTTTAAGAGTTAAAAATTACTTAGGACTGAGTATATCCTATTTTCCTCCTCCACATAATTACTGGGCATTGAAATCATACAGATATTTAGTTAACTACTCAGAACACAACTGATATTAGCTAATGTTTACATATTCCTTTATAGCATGTACAGCATTTTCATGAACAGTCACCAATTTATGTGAGACACTTGAGAATATGTCTAAGATACAGAAAGCCCTTCATAAGTACTTTTTTGATAGTTTAATTATCTTCTACAACTCATCAGATAAGGAGAAATAATACTGTAGTTTATGGTTAGCAAATAGACAAACTGGCTCAAAAGAGAAGTCACTTGCCTCAGTTTATACTACTAGGAAATGACAAGTTAGAAACTGAACCTAGATGATACAATACCAAATAGAATATCCTTATCAATACTGTATGCAACCTAATCCACAATTCATGAAAAATGACTAACCTGCAATGGATAGAAGATGATACTAGAAGTCAAAAGACTTCATGTCTTTCTAGTGGCCCAATGTATTGCAAATGGCACTTACTTTCCCTGATAATTTGTTAAATTTTTCTTGCAAAATTATGTATTGCAGTTCACACCTACAAAAACTATGTTATCCTGTGACATTTTCATCACAGATTTATCTTGTAGATAATTAAGCTACCATTTGAAAAGAACATACTATTCCTGAGTTCCTATAAAGCTAAAAACACTTTCATCATTTTTTTAAATTTAATCGTCACCCCTACCTTAGATGGTAAGTAATATTAGTCTTCATCTGAGGGATAATTGATGAGGAATTTGAGGCTTAGGGATACAAATTGATTTGCCAAGTACATACAGTTAATTAATAGTAAAGTTAGGATTCTAAGCCAAATCTGTTTGAGCTGTCACCATCACACTGTAGTTCCTTGGGGAAACAATGAATAAAAAAGTTAAATAAGCTTTTTATTAATTTTTTTAGTAATTCTTAGGTCTTGAACATAAATACAATGAGCCTCTCCAGATGAGGGTATAGAATGCATCATTACTCATATTTCTATGGTAGCAGAACTATTTTTTCAGAACATATTGTGGAAATAGTATTCTAAGGAATTAGATGATTTCCAAGAAAACTTCCAATTCTATAGTTTTACTACTTTACTAACTGGATCTCTGTTCTCTTTACATCTGGATCTGCTTTTTAACCAAGCCAGATCTCAAGTTTCTCTACTTGAAATGATATCACATAAACACAGAGTTGTTGTGAAGATCATAGGTGCCATTTGATACAAATAACATAACAAAATAATGCAAAAACAAAAATATTTGTTTCTAAAAAGTAATAAGCACTATGTAGATTTAAGTAATATTAGAATAGATTGTATCATCAGTTGAAAAGCCAAGATAGATTTTTTTCTAACTTGAAACATATTTTTAAAGTAATGTTCAAATAAGTCAAAGATTTTACCAAGTGACACTTGAGATGAAACTTCAACTGAGTTAAGAGGAGAATTTTAATCTATCTCCAAACTGACTCATCTCTTGACCCAACTTTGTCATTTTTGCTTACTCCCACATGTTCTAACTTTTTGGAGATAAAATTCTGTACCAAATAAATTTAAGGAGTCCAGCACGCTGAACTTCTCATCTCCAACTTGTGTTCCTTTTAATAATAGGTTTGAGGGTTTCTGAGACTTTCCCAACTGAGACCTCATGTTGGGAAGTGACACCTTGCTTTTCATTGTCTATACTCTACTCTGATTCATGATATCATGTGGAGCATCATGACTGATATAATCTGACACACCTTGTCGTGGAGCCACATGCACCCGCTTGGAAGCCTACTGAGAAACAAGTTTCAGCAAAGGCAACTTGGAAGATAAAAACGTGTGTGTGTGTGTGCGTGTGTGTGTGTTTGTGCGTGTGTGTGTGTGTGGTAATTCAACTTCCTGAAGTACAGAGAACTTTTCCCAAATCTAAGACAAGGAAATGATTTACAACAAAATCAATGTACACTTTTGAATATAACAGGATTCTGGGCTAATTCTACATATATACCTTCTTGTAATTGCTTTTAAAATAAAAATTAAAACATACTCAATATTTACAAAACGAAACTATTCATCTAGTATATTTTTTTCAATTTTCATTTTTGACTCAGGGGTAGATGTGCAGGTTCATTACATGAGTAAATTGTGGGTCACTGAGGTTTGGTGTATGAATGATTCTATCACCCAGGTAATGAGCATAATAACCAAAAGGTAGTTTTTCAGCCTTCGATCCCCTGCCACCCTCCCCAAACCAGTAGTCCCCAAGGTCTATTGCTACCATCTTTGTGTCTATGTGTACTCAGTGTTCAGCTCCCACTTATAAATGAGAATATGTGGTATTTGGTTTTCTGTTTCTGCATTAATTTGCTTAGGAAATGGCCTCCAGCTGTATCCATGTTGCTCCAGAGAACACGATTTCATTCTTTTTATGGCTGTGTAGTATTTCATCATGTATATGTACCACATTTTCTTTATCCAGTCTAGTCTTGACATGCATCTAGGTTGATTCCATGTCACTGCTATTATAAATAGTGTTCTGATGAACATATAAGTGCATGTCTTTTTTTTTTTTTTTTTTTTTTTGAGACGGAGTCTCACTCTGTCACCCAGGCTGGAGTCAGTGGCGCATTCTTGGCTCACTGCAAGCTCTGCCTCTCGGGTTCACGCCATTCTCCTGCCTCAGCCTCCCGAGTAGCTGGGACTACAGGTGCCTGCCATCACGCCCAGCTAATTTTCTGTATTTTGTTTAGTAGAGACAGGGTTCCACCGTGTTAGCCAGGATGGTCTCGATCTCCTGAGCTCGTGATCCACCTGCCTCGGCCTCCCAAAGTGCTGGGATTACAGGCATGAGCCACCGCACCCGGCCAAAAATAATTTTGTGATTACATAGTAGATGTATATATTTACAGGGTATGTGACATGTTTTCTTACAGGCCTGGAATGTGAAATAAGCACATCATGGAGAATGGGGTATTCATCCTTTTAAGCATTTATCCTTTGAGTTACAAACAATCCTTTTACATTCTTTAAGTTATTTAAACAATGCAATTAAGTTATTATTGACTATAGTCATCCTATCATGCTATCAAATCATAGGTCTTACTCATTCTTTCTATTTTTTGTACCCATTAGCCATACTCATCCCCATCCCCACCCTCTACTACCCTTTCCAGTCTCTGGGTAACCATCTTTCTACTCTCTATGGCCATGAGTTCAATTGTTTTGACTTTTAGATCCCGCAAATAAGTGAGAACATGCAATGTTTGTTTTTCTTTTCCTGGCTTATTTCACTTAACATAATGATCACCAGTTCCATACATGTTGTTGCAAATAACTGGATCTCATTCTTTTTATGGCTGAATAATATGTAAAGCACCCTCTCTCCATAGAGGATGCTATCTCAATCTAGCAAACCATCATAATACATGTACCACATTTGCTTTATGCATTCATCTGCTGATGGATGTCTTCCAAATCTTAGCTATTGTAATTGGTTCCTTCCAAACCTTAGCTATTGTAGCAAACATAAGAGTGCGGATATTTCTTCGATATACTGATTTCCTTTCTTATGGGTGTATACCTAGCAGTGGGATTGCTGGATCATATGGTAGCTCAATCTTTAGTTTTCTGAGGAACCTCCAAACGGTTCTCCATAATGGTTGTAGACTAGTATATTTTTAATGAAGTTCAAACTGCTTTGGGGTCATCTGATACCAGTACGTTTTTAAAAACAGAAAAGAAATGTTGTTTTTTCACTGAATTCTAATAGAATACTGCAGGAAAATGGTCACTTTTCTTATTGACCTATGAAGTAACTTGTGTTTTGTGTATGAGGATGGGAGTACGTGTTTTCACACAACTGTCAGCATTAGCGTCCTTCTTTTAGTGAAGCTGTTGATGTTGCCATGGGAAAATATCTGCCTATGTATTAAGCTGAGCTGACTTTATTTCTGCAATCTTAACATTTTAAAAAATATATTTCCATTCTAAAAACAAGGCCTGACATCTATGAGCATCAGGCAAAATGGGTTTGAACTTTGGCTCTTTCATCAACTCACCCATCCCAGTGGCACTGAATTCTGCAGATGCATTTTTATTTTAATTTATTTTTATTTTTATTTTATTTTATTTTTATTTTTATTTTTATTGAGACAGGTCTCACTCTGTCGCTCAGCCTGCAGTGCAGAGGCGTGATCTTGGCTCACTATAACCTCCACCCATTGCAACCTCGGCCTCCCAGGTTCAAGTGATTCTCCTGCTTCAGCTCCACAAGTAGCTGGGACTACAGGCACACACCACCATGCCTGGCTAATTTTTGTGTTTTTAATAGAGATGGGGTTTCGCCATTATGACCAAGCTAGTTTTGAACTCCTGACCTCAAGTGATCCACCCGCCTTGGCCTCCCAAAGTGCTGGGATTACAGGAGTAAGCCATCATGCCCAGCCTACACATGCTTTTATAAGCATCAGAGAAGTACATACTGCTCCCATATTAAGGAGATGATCTTTTCCTCCACATGCTTTTCCCTAATGCTTATCATCTTTCATTCAACAACTGAACTCCAAGAAGGTATCTCTTGTCTTACTCTTATTTTCCTCAATCAGCAAAGTAAAAGAGATCAACTTTAGGTTAATATGAATGAATTATGCTTCCATAGATAGTTATGCCATTTCTCTAATCCTGAAAACAAAAATTCCTGGTACCTCATTAAAAAGAACATAAAACTTGATCCAGTAGGGTGAAGGTGGGAAATTTTATGGCTGATAGAAGCAAAGCCCTCTGAAACACTTCTACCAAAGGACAACTCTGACCAGGATTATATTAAATAAGAACATAGTCCTTGCTGTATGTATTAATTCAACAAAGCCTCTGCCTATACAAATATTTCCCAGCTAAGAGTAAAAGGCTAGGTTTTTGATAGTTTGCAGAATAAACTCTATTCATAATATCGCTTTTGCTGTCAGTAAATGTCACCAAGGTGAGAATTGTCTATTTTTATTCTACTTCAGCCTTCAGCTTCAGAAAAAACTTCAGAGAAAATGTATGAACTACCTGTATTGAAAGGCCTTGTTCAGTGAGTCTTCTGTATGTGCTCCCTGGGCATCTAGAAGTTTTGCAGTGTTTCATTCAAGCTGTTCAAGGTTGAGCATCTATTCACACCACTTTGCAATTGAAGCAGTCATAGCTTTTCCAAAACAGCCTGCCTATTAGGTCTAGGCCTTTCTATCCCCTGTCTCAGGGAAAATAATCAGAACAGCTTCCTTTTCTCTTTTCTGTACTTTATTATGTGTTTCAAGGTTGACAAAAAAGGCAGGATCAATGATTTTCCTTTAAAATATGACATAGCTATTTCTTGCCCACAGAATAGCTACCACAGATTTTTTCTCAGAGCAATGGTTGTGATGCTAGATGAGGTTGGTTTTAATGAGCCAATTTTGGGCTGCTTGACTCCTCTACTCTTCATAGGAGTAATTCACCTACAGTCTTTACATATATCCCTGCTGACACTTTAAAACAATGTGCTTGTTTTCTTTTAAGCACAGTACACAAAATCAAGCTCAGTAGAAGCTCCATCCACACAGAGACCAAGACCATATTTCAAAAGCTAAAAATAGAAGAATCTTTTAAAATATATATTATAAAACACAAAGCATTAATTCTGGCTGTGTCTAGGATACTCATTAAACATCAGGAACAATGTTAGCTATTTATTGTTATCATCACCAGAGATTTCTGCACCTTGATTTTAACTTACTTTGGTGATATGGCTATTAGCAATATTCTTTTTAGGTGTGGCAATTCCCAGGCTTGTGTTGAACAAATCCTAGTCATGTTTCTTGGTATTGGGAAGATAATATCTTTGCTCTAGATGAACACATAACCAAGGGAAATAATATTTTCTAACAAAAACTGTAGCTGTCAGTTTTATTAACACATTGACTAGCACAGCAGAATTTCTAATAAACACAGTTGATGTAAGGTGGCTTTTTAGCAGCTTTAATCCAAACTGAGGCCAAGACAATTCACAGGCACCCTAAACTCATGAGGAAGCCAATTGTTTTCCCTTCTTTGAAATAAAATTGAGAAGCTTGAAATACATAGTTTAAGAGCACATACTGAAGTCAGCTATACTTTGCCAGTTATTAACTATTATTTAACCCTATGTGATCTTCAATTTTCGTGCCTCTACTGTAGGGATAATAACGAGCAGGTGGAGATGATTCCCATGGGATAGCACACAGCCTGGCACATAATAAACGTATAGTAGAGGTAAACTTTGTTGATGCTAAACTATTTTTTCTTAACTTTTGCCAAGAGCATGAAGAGTTCCTCCAATTTCACCAAAACTGAACAATATTTCTAGACTCTTAGCCTAAATTCAATAACACAATAATGAGTGGGTGTTCAAAACATTCACCCCACCTTACACTCTGTGAGTGCAAAATAGAATCATCAGCATTTTAAGGCTCCTGTTTACCCATTTTCTGTACCCTAGACTGAAATTCACTTCAGGTGGAGTTACTGAACAGCAACCAAACTGGGACTGTTCTGCCTACATAATTTTACTGCATATTTTAGTTCTTATAAGCTGTGCTATGTAAATTAATTAATTAATGATATATAAATAATTTACATATGATAGCTTGTAAGAACTAGACTATGCATAAATATATGCATGCACACACATACACATTGGTGATAGTAGGACTGAGGTTCTGTGACTTCACGGTGAAAGTCTTTGTATTAAATTACCTGTCTTTTAAACTAACATGTCTCCTAAATAGGCAATTCCTATCATCAAATTTTATTTTCTTTCTTTATGATTGTAGTTCACCCATCGCTAATTCCCTATTTTTCCTGGTTCTCATTAACTTCTTCCTTTATATCTTTTTGATTATCAGTCGTATGAGGACTGTGCTCCACAAAATGTTTTAAATAGTAACAGGTTTATATTTATTTACTCACTGAGCAAACATTAAGAAGGCATGCACTGTGTGCAAAAAACTGAGCTAAGGATGGGCAAATATACAAGGATAAACAAGATAAAGTTACTGTCCTTCGGGACCTCACACTTAGTAGAGAAAATAGCAAAGTACTCACATTAAAAAATACTGAAAGACAGATTCTGGTAAGTTCCATAACACTGTCATCTCATTGGCTTATGGTATCAGATTTCAGTTTCCAGCCTTGCCTTTTCTAATGTACACCTTGTCATGGAGTCATAATGATCTTAAAAATGCAAATTAGATCATTGCTTACCTTGAAGCCCATCAAAGGCTTCCATTGCTATCAAGACAAACTTCAAACACCACAGAATGATGTTCAATGCTTTTCATGATTTGATCTCAGTTTAGCTCTCCAGTCTCCCATTTTTTTCCTCATCGATCTCAAACCTCATCCCACTTTCTACTTACTTGTGTCTACCACAGAAACAATATCCTGTTTATTGCTCCATCCTTAGCACCTAGCTGTGCCTGGCTCACTGAAGCCAACTGATAACTATTTTAATTAAGGAGGGAAATCATGAATCTTTATTTGAAAATATTGAATTCAAAGTTTTGGCATAATATTTAGACCAATATATTCAAAAGTTAACTACAAATGTTGAGTTGATGCTTCAGATAGAAAATGTGACTCATTTTATATATATATATATAATTATATGTATTATATATATAATATTATATATATTATAATATATATGTTATTTGCAAACACATGCTCCTTTAAAGCATAGCAACAAGCCAGAAACCAATAAGAGAGTTTAAAATAGTGCTAGATGTTGAGTTACATACATTTACACACCTTTCTTTATTCTAGGACTTGGAAAGACTCTAGCATGCTATGGTGAATCCTCAAGAAGAGGTTATAATTTGCATATATTTTTAAAATGTATTTGATCAAAGAACACTTTTCTCACTGAATATCACTGATTTATATATGTTTAGAGAGGAAACAAAAAGAGAGGATAAGGGAAACATAGTAACAAAGGTACAAAGGAAAACTGGTAAGTGAAGCATCATGAAAATAAAAGAATCAAGAATAAAATGGTGTTCAATAAATCAAGTAATATTGGAATATCAAAAAGGATTTGACTAGTATAAATATTTCTAACAAAACAAAATATAACCAGTTTAGAAAATGGGTTGGAATGGAACAGAATGGGAAAAGGGTAGTGAGTAAGAGATGCAGGCACACAATAAAACAGTGTCATAGAGGGTAATCCTTTGTGGAACTTTAAAACAGCTATCCAGAATTGTCCTAATGCTATGAAAAGGTGAAACCACCACTTTGACCTTCCAACTATATGAAGCACAACAAACTAGGCCAAGAACTCTACAGTCTTAATTCAATTCATTCAGTATGTGTAGACAAAACCCAAAATAGAACCTGGATAATGTTCGCGTGTGTTGGAATTTTATAATTGATGTGCCATAGTCCCCAAATTGAGCTTATTTATTTATTTTTGACAGCCTAATTCATTAAAGCAAACACATTGACTGTTTAACATTCCAGAATCATTTGCTGAGGGACACATAACAAATATGGCCCCAGAGGGACTACTGACTGCCAACATACCTGTGCTTATTTTACATTCGCCATCCATTCACCCCACTTTCATTCCATTTTACAGATCATTTCTCTGTCTTACTTCACTTTTCCCTTTGGAATCAGGTTTTCGATGAGTCTCATTTTCTGCTTATTTTCCACCCTCCTTTTTCTTCCCTTCTCCCTGACCAACAAATGCTATATAACAGACAGACTCATTCATCTCTAGAACCTTATCTGGGGGAGCATATGTTTCTTTTCTTTGAGGTCAGATGAACTATTCCTTATATGCAACAAAAAGAAAAAATATGCATTGGCAGCAAATTCTCCTATGGTTGACCATCATTTCTGTCCACTATGTTAAGCCAATTTCACATGCTTAAACATGCCTTTTGTCATCAACAACAAAAGCAAAAGGCAGCTGAACTCTGGTTAATAAATCATTTTCTGTGGCAGAAAGACTGCTTGGGAAATATGATGCCAGACATTCAAGACTATTCCCTACAGAGTGTTAGTCATGGGTTCACCCAATTTTCTCATGATTAAAACTGTTTTAACAAAAGACATTTTAAAGAACACAAAGAGTAATTAAATTTAAAAACAAACTCAATAAGTAGTTGAGGTCGACTTCATATTTGCAGAGTGATTTATTGGATAAATCATATTTCTACAGAGAAGAATAAGTAATAGGAAGATGTTATAGAGATATTTCAAGAAGATAAAAATAATAAGAAATGTTATAATTTCTATGTGAGCTTGTATATTTTTAAGTCATTTAACCTATTTGAGCTTCCATTTTTATTAATTTAAATTAAATGCATTCATTCACTATTAACAGGGTATCCGAAAGTACATCATAAAGAATTTACCGTAAAAGACAGAATACCTAAGCATAAGAAAAAACTTGAAATCCTGACATGCTGACAAAAAAATAAAAATAAAAGAAAATGAAGAAAAGAAAAGAGAAAGAGAGAGAAACCTCTGGAAGCAACAATATGTTCAGCTGAAATGGACATATATTTGAACACACACACACACACACACACACACACACAAAGTTACAATGACTGAGTGTTATGGCAAAACCTTCTTAAAGGTCAAGTTTTAGTAAGACTAGCTATAATTATCAATCAAATATTTGAAACGATAGCATAAACAGGACTAATTATTCACATTCTTGCATTTAATATTATTATACCATTAAAAATGTGCTGCAATGTACACTCATTCATATTAGGTAGTACATTCATTCAATTCAGGTAGAACATTTTCAGGTCAGGTGATAGGTTTAGACATTCATCTTCAAGTGGTCTGGGATGAATTTTTCTGGCCTATGATCTTTTCCTCCCACCCAGCTGCTATATGACTTTTAGAGCTTGAACATGCTTCCAAACGCTGAGCAAAGGGGAGTAAAAGCTTTTAAATACACAGGTGCCACTGCAGGCAAAATCCCCGGTTGCCATGCTTACTGATGAATGTGGGGGAGAAACTAACAGCCCTGGCCAGATAACATAGTCATTTCCAATGACATCTAAAAATGACATTGTTTCCCAATCAGATGAGTAACACTGCAAAATAACATTGTCCATATGGGCACGTTAGAGGAAAACTAGGCTGAATGGTTTTTAAGGAGATACAGCAAGCTGTGCTTTGAGAGGAATTGTCCATAGCCAGTAGAGACAAGTAGCAAATCTCTGGCTATTATATAGCTTGCTATAGTCCCTCTAACAACATACTCTATTTATATAAATGCTTTGGCCTTAAAATAACTGGGTTCTTAATTTAGCTGAATGTACTTATAATAACCGTAACCCTTATATGCCAGTTAGTGTGCAAAATATTAAACATTCATTATGTCTCTTTTACATGAGAACATTGAGCTGATAGAACAAATTCTTCAGCATATCCCTTGTTATTATGTTTTATTAGCTTTTTTAAATAGAAAAAACACAACTGTGAGACAACTTCTGTCTAAATTTGAGGCTAGTTCTATTCCATACATCTAATACTATCTCTGCCATCTTTATAAGTTAATATTTATCAAACACATACTATTCTACAGGCATTATTCTAAATACCTTATTCATTTAATGTTTTAAAAAATCCTGAAATGTTACCACCTTCAACTTACAGATGAGGAAACTGAGGGGCAAAGGGATTATTTACCAGAAATTTTTCACGTGGTAACAGACACAGGTGGAATTTGTAACCTGGCTTCTGAATATTTTTACTTACTTTATTTTTTGTTTGTTTGTTTGTTTTTATTATTATACTTTAAGTTTTAGGGTACATGTGCACAACGTGCCATTAGTTACATATGTATACATGTGCCATGTTGGTGTGCTGCACCCAGTAACTTCTCATTTAACATGAGGTATATCTCCAAACTCTATCCCTACCCCCACCCCCCAACCCACAACAGGCCCCAGTGTGTGATGCACCACTTCCTATGTCCATGTGTTCTCATTGTTCAATTCCCACATATGAGCGAGAACATGTGGTGTTTGGTTTTTTGTCCTTGCAATAGTTTGCTGAGAATGATGGTTTCCAGCTTCATCCATGTGCCTACAAAGGACATGAACTCATCCTTTTTTATGACTGCATAGTATTCCATGGTGTATATGTGCCACATTTTCTTAATCCAGTCTATCATTGATGGACATTTGGGTTGGTTCCAAGTCTTTGCTATTGTGAATAGTGCCACAATACACATATGTGAGCATGTGTCTTTATAGCAGCATGATTTATAATCCTTTGGGTATATACCCACTAATGGGATTGCTGGGTCAAATGGTATTTATAGTTCTAGATCCCTGAGGAATCACCACACTGACTTCCAAAATGGTTGAACTAGTTTACAGTCCCACCAACAGTGTAAAAGTGTTCCTATTTCTCCACATTCTCTCCAACACCTGTTGTTTCCTGACTTTTTAATGATTGCCATTCTAATTGGTGTGAGATGGTATCTCATTGTTTTGATTTGCATTTATCTGATGGTCAGTGATGATGAGCATTATTTCATGTGTCTTTTGGCTGCATAAATGTCTTCTTTTGAGAAGTGTCTGTTCATATCCTTTGCCCACTTTTTCATGGGGTTGTTTTTTTCTTGCAAATTTGTTTGAGTTCTTTGTAGATTCTGGATATTAGCCCTTTGTCATATGAGTAGATTGCAAAAATTTTCTCCCATTCTGTAGGTTGCCTGTTCACTCTGACAGTAGTTTCTTTTGCTGTGCAGAAGCTCTTTAGTTTAATTAGATCTCATTTGTCAATTTTGGCTTTTGTTGCCATTGCTTTTGGTGTTTTAGACATGAAGTCCTTGCCCATGCCTATGTCCTGAATGGTATTGCCTAGGTTTTCTTCCAGGGTTTTTATGGTTTTAGATCTGACATTTATGTCTTTAATCCATCTTAAATTAATTTTCATATAAGGTGTAAGGAAGGGACCCAGTTTCAGCTTTCTACATATGGCTAGCCAGTTTTCCCAGCACCATTTATTAAATAGGGAATCCTTTCCCCATTGCTTGTTTTTGTCAGGTTTGTCAAAGACCAGATGGTTGTAGATAGTGGCATTATTTCTGAGGACTCTGTTCTGTTCCATTGGTCTATATCTCTGTTTTGGTACCAGTACCATGCTGTTTTGGTTACTGTAGCCTTGTAGTATAGTTTGAAGTCAGGTAGCATGATGCCTCCAGCTTTGTTCTTTTGGCTTAGGATTGGCTTGGCAATGCGGGCACTTTTTTGGTTCCATATGAACTTTAAAGTAGTTTTTTCCAATTCTGCGAAGAAAACCATTGATAGCTTGATGGGGATGGCATTGAATCTATAAATTACCTTGGGCAGTATGGCCATTTTCACAATATTGATTCTTCCTACTCATGAGCATGGAATGTTCTTCCATTTCTTTGTATCCTCTTTTATTTCATTGAGCAGTGGTTTGTAGTTCTCCTTGAAGAGGTCCTTCACGTCCCTTGTAAGTTGGATTCCTAGGTATTTTACTCTCTTTGAAGCAATTGTGAATAGGAGTTCACTCATGATTTGGCTCTCTGTTTGTCTGTTATTGGTGTATAAGAATGCATGTGATTTTTGCACATTGATTTTGTATCCTGAGATTTGCCGAAGTTGCTTATCAGCTTAAGGAGATTTTGGGCTGAGACGATGGGGTTTTCTAGATATACAATCACGTCATCTGCAAACAGGGACAATTTGACTTCCTCTTTTCCTAATTGAATACCCTTTATTTTCTTCTCCTGCCTAATTGCCCTGGCCAGAACTTCCAACACTATGCTGAATAGGAGTGGTGAGAGAGGGGATCCCTGTCTTGTGCCAGTTTTCAAAGGAAATGCTTCCAGTTTTTGCCCATTCAGTATGATATTGGCTGTGTGTTTGTCATAGATAGCTCTTATTATTTTGAGATATGTCCCATCAATACCTAATTTATTGAGAGGTTTTAGCATGAAGGGTTGTTGAATTTTGTCAAAGGCCTTTTCTGCATCTATCGAGATAATCATATGGTTTTTGTCTTTGCTTCTGTTTATATGCTGGATTATGTTTATTTATTTGCATATGTTGAACCAGCCTTGCATCCCAGAGATGAAGCCCACTTGATCATGATGGATAAGCTTTTTGATGTGCTGCTGAATTTGGTTTGCCAGTTTTTTATTAAGAATTTTTGTATTGATGTTCATCAAAGATATTGGTCTAAAATTCTCATTTTTGTTGTTTCTCTGCCAGGCTTTGGTATCAGGATGATGCTGGCCTCATAAAATGAGTTAGGGAGGATTCCCTCTTTTTCTGTTCATTGGAATAGTTTCAGAAGGAATGGTACCACCTCCTCCTTGTTCCTCTGGTAGAATTCAGCAGTGAATCCCTCCGGTCCTGGACTTTTTTGGTTGGTAAGCTATTAATTATTGCCTCAATTTCAGAGCCAGTTATTGGTCTATTCAGAGATTCAACTTCTTCCTGGTTTAGTCTTGGGAGGGTGTATGTATCAAGGAATTTATCCATTTCTTCTGGATTTTCCAGTTTATTTGCAGAGAGGTGTTTATAGTATTCTCGGATGGTAGTTTGTATTTCTGTGGGATTGGTGGTGATAACCCCTTTATCATTTTTTATTGTGTCTATTTGATTCTTCTCTCTTTTCTTCTTTATTAGTCTTCCTAGTGGTCTATCAATTTTGTTGATCTTTTCAAAAAACCACCTCCTGGATTCATTGATTTTTTGAAGGGTTTTTTGTGTCTCTACTTCCTTCAGTTCTTCTCTGATCTTAGTTATTTCTTGCCTTCTGCTAGCTTTTGAATGTGTTTGCTCTTGCTTCTCTGGTTCTTTTAATTGTCATGTTAGGGTGTCAATTTTAGATGTTTCCTGCATCCTCTTGTGGGCATTTAGTGCTATAAATTTCCCTCTATACACTGCTTTGAATGTATCCCAGAGATTCTGGTATGTTGTGTCTTTGTTCTCATTGGTTTCAAAGAACATCTTTATTTCTGCCTTCATTTCGTTATGTACCCAGTAGTCATTCAGGAGCAGGCTGTTCAGTTTCCATGTAGTTGAGCGGTTTTGAGTGAGTTTCTTAATCCTGAGTTCTAGTTTGATTGCACTGTGGTCTGAGAGACAGTTTGTTATAGTTTTTGTTCTTTTACATTTGCTGAGGAGAGCTTTACTTCCAACTATGTGGTCAATTTTGGAATAAGTGCGGTGTGGTGCTGAGAAGAATGTATATTCTGTTGATTTGGGATGGAGAGTTCTGTAGATGTCTATTAGGTCTGCTTGGTGCAGAGCTGAGTTCAATTCCTGGATATCCTTGTTAACTTTCTGTCTCGTTGATCCGTCTAATATTGACAGTGGGGTGTTAAAGTCTTCCATTATTATTGTGTGGGAGTCTAAGTCTCTTCATAGGTCTCTAAGGACTTGCTTTATGAATCTGGGTGCTCCTGTATTGGGTGCATATATATTTAAGATAGTTAGCTCTTCTTGTTGAATTGGTCCCTTTATCATTATGTAATGGCCTTCTGTGTCTCTTTTGATCTTTGTTGGTTTAAAGTCTGTTTTTTCAGAGACTAGGATTGCAACCCCTGCCTTTTTTTGTTTTCCATTTGCTTGGTAGATCTTCCTCCATTCCTTTATTTTGAGCCTATGTGTGTCTGTGCACATGAGATGGGTTTCCTGAATACAGCACTCTGATGGGTCTTGACTCTTTTTTTTTTTTATTATACTTTAAGTTTTAGGGTACATGTGCACATTGTGCAGGTTAGTTACATATGTATACATGTGCCATGCTGGTGCGCTGCACCCACTAACTCGTCATCTAGCATTAGGTATATCTCCCAGTGCTATCCCTCCCCCCTCCCCCCACCCCACCACAGTCCCCAGAGTGTGATATTCCCCTTCCTGTGTCCATGTGATCTCTTTATCCAATTTACCAGTCTGTGTCTTTTAATTGGAACATTTAGCCCATTTACATTTAAGGTTAATATTGTTATGTGTGATTTGATCCTTTCATTCTGATGTTAGCTGGTTATTTTGCTCGTTAGTTGATGCAGTTTCTTCCTAGCCTCGATCGTCTTTACATTTTGGCATGTTTTTGCAGTGGCTGGTACTGGTTGTTCCTTTCCATGTTTAGTGCTTCCTTCAGGAGTTCTTGTAGGGCAGGCCTGGTGGTGACAAAATCTCTCAGCATTTGCTTGTTTGCAAAGGATTTTATTTCTCCTTCACTTATGATGCTTGGTTTGGCTGGATATGAAATTCTGGGTTGAATATTCTTTTCTTTAAGAATGTTGATTATTGTCCCCCACTCTCTTCTGGCTTATAGAGTTTCTGCCGAGAGATCTGCTGTTAATCTGATGGGCTTCCCTTTGTGGGTAACCCCACCTTTCTCTCTGGCTGCCCTTAACATTTTTTCCTTCATTTCAACTTTGGTGAATCTGACAATTATGTGTCTTGGAGTTGCTCTTCTCGAGGAGTATCTTTGTGGCATTCTCTGTATTTCCTGAATTTGAATGTTGGCCTGCCTTGCTAGACTGGGGAAGTTCTCCTGGATAATATCCTGCAGAGTGTTTTCCAACTTGGTTCCATTCTCCCTGTCACTTTCAGGTACACCAATTGGATGTAGATATGGTCTTTGCACATAGTCCCATATTTCTTGGAGGCTTTGTTCGTTTCTTTTTATTCTTTTTTCTCTAAACTTCTCTTCTCACTTCATTTCATTCATTTGATCTTCCATCACTGATACCCTTTCTTCCAGTTGATTGAATCGGCTACTGAGGCTTGTGCATTCATCGCATAGTTCTCGTGCCTTGGTTTTCAGCTCCATCAGGTCCTTTAAGGACTTGTCTGCATTGGTTATTCTAGTTAGCCATTCGTCAGATTTTTTTTCAAGATTTTTAACTTCTTTGCCATGGGTTCAAACTTCCTCCTTTAGCATGGAGTAGTTTGATCATCTGAAGCCTTCTTTGCCTCTTCTAGCTAACTATAAAAAGTATTTATTGTTTTTAAAATGTTGCACATCTTTAATAAAATAATGTTGGTTAAAGGAGTTTTTTATTTTGAAAAGTACTCTGTAAATG
This sequence comes from Homo sapiens, assembly GCF_000001405.40. Classification (NCBI taxonomy): domain Eukaryota; kingdom Metazoa; phylum Chordata; class Mammalia; order Primates; family Hominidae; genus Homo; species Homo sapiens. The sequence goes on from NC_000004.12 coordinate 97,259,913, forward strand.
GCAGTCATTTATTCACCTATCCATTCATGCATTTATTTATTTATTTATTTATTGCTTTATTCTACTAAAGAATGAAGTCATCTAAATCAGTAGAACACTGATTACCAAACCTCTGTATTGTTTCAGATGCTATAGTGACTTCTCACTTCTCATCTAGAAGCAAAGGATGAGTAATATTTATGACAACCTATTCATTTTAAAATTATACCCTGCTGGCCGGGCGCGGTGGCTCACGCCTGTAATCCCAGCACTTTGGGAGGCCGAGGCGGGCGGATCACGAGGTCAGGAGATCGAGACCATCCCGGCTAAAACGGTGAAACCCCGTCTCTACTAAAAATACAAAAAATTAGCCGGGCGTAGTGGCGGGCGCCTGTAGTCCCAGCTACTTGGGAGGCTGAGGCAGGAGAATGGCGTGAACCCGGGAGGCGGAGCTTGCAGTGAGCCGAGATCCCGCCACTGCACTCCAGCCTGGGCGACAGAGCGAGACTCCGTCTCAAAAAAAAAAAAAAAAAAAAAAAAAAAATTATACCCTGCTAATTCAAATTTGGTTTTACATGTGCAAGTTTTGTTCTGGTCACTTTTTAAGTTATGTTTCAGTGAGAAATAATCAGATTGAAACTTGCAAATATTTATCAATAAGATGGTCAGTTTATATAGTGCTTTAACTTGGCAGCACCTGCTTCAATTTCTCCTAACTTCCTGAAAAAGCTTGGAAAAGAAATACGTCATTCGTATTTCTGTTCAAGTAACATTCCTTAACGAAGCCTTCCTGACCTTCCTGTGAGAAATGATGGTCTTTCCTCTTTCTCCCCATGTTAAGGTACTTTCCAACTTGGCCTTATTTTCTTTAAAACATGTATATCAATGGGAAATCATCATTTTTGTGTATGTATTATTTACCTTCTTTCCAACAAGGTCTGGCACATGGTGGATGTCCAATAAATATTAGCAGAATGAAGGGTAAATAGAAACTCTTATGTGCCATGATGAATATAAGGACATGTCCTTCACTTTGTCAAGAACAACTGAGGCAAATCAACAACCAGCATCATATTTAAAGTAAAAGTGTATATGCACATAAAATACTATATAGAGTACCTAATTATAACTTTAGAAAGGAAAAAATCAAAATAATTATTTATAGAAGTCTTGAAGAGATTACACCTATGTGTTAGCAGTGTAATCTTTAAGAAATATTTATAGATTTGCTCTTTTGTTTGTCTATTTTTAATTACTCTTTTATATTCTATATTGTCTACAATAAATTTCTGTTAGTTTTCCATATCCATGTGAGGGTACAGAATATCTACTGACAGAAAAAAACATTTGGTTAGTGTTATAGACTGAAAGTTTGTGGCCCCTTAAAATTGTTGAAGCACTAAAACTCAGTGTGGCTATATTTGGAGATGGGGTCTGTAAGGAAGTAATTAAGTCAAATGAAGTCATATGTGTGTACCCTGATCCAATGAATTAGTGTTCTTATAAGACAAGACACTAGAAATCTCCTCTCTGTCTGTCTCTCTCTCTCTCTCTCTCTCAGCATATACCAAGGAAAGGCCATGTGAGCACCCAGTGAGACTGTAGTTGCCTACGAGCCAAGAGAAGAAGCCTCAGAATGAAACAGGCCTTACTGGCACCTTGATCCTGGACTCCCTCAGAGCTGCAAGAAAGTGAATTTCTGTTGCTAAAGCCTCCCAGCCTGGTATTTTGTTATAGCAGTCTAAGCTAATTTAGACCACTGGTAAAATAGACAGGAGAAGCAAATCAAGTCATGATAAAGTTGTTTGCTCTCAAGCTATATACTGACTGTAAGGACAAAAGCCATATAATCCTTTGACTTTCTATAATATTAAAATCAGAAAATCCAAGTAAGTTTTTAATTAAATGTACTTAATATTAAGTGCATGTCTTTGTATACATACCAGATCACATGCGGGTATGAAATAAAAATCTCTATTTTTAGATGTACAAATGAACATCTTATACTGGGCACATAAAACTCTTCTGGACCTAGTAACTCCAAAAACCTACTCAAAAGAAGTATTAAAATATTGCTGTTTAAAGATGTTCAATGCAACATCATTTATAATAACAATGTCTAAATAAAGTAATAATTCAAGGTATATTATTACAATAGAGGGATACAAGTAATAAACATCACATTTTAAAGACTAAAATCACTGATAACATAAAATTGAGTGAAAACAAATAAATAAGAAAGACTATATTGCAGGATTTTAATTTTCTTAAAAAATTGTCTATATTATAGATATGCATTTGGGAAAAGCAGCATAATAGTAATCTTTGAGATAAGAAGTCATTAATATTTATATTTTGTTTTTATACTCTTCATAATTTCAAAATCTCCCACAATTAGCATCATCAGACAAAAAAACTATAGATTATTTTTTGAAGTACAGCACTGCCTCTTACCATAATCCTGAGAAACTTGGAGACACAGTCAATGTCAAGGAATATAAAAAAAAAGCATGTAACAGGAACATATAGGGAAATATCTAAGTTATTATGATTAAGGAGCACAACATTGATATAAAAAGATAGAAGAGAATAAGTTTGATACATTCAGCTATCCAGTAAAATGTTCCATTGTTTCTTTCCATGAGACAAAACCTAAGAATTAACAGTAATCCCTTTCCACCAATTTAGCACCAATTTTAATCCCCAATTATGTATCAAATTTAATTTCTTTTCCTCTTTAGTTTTGCTCCTATCTATACTTTCCTTTGTTCAGTACAGCTCTACACTGAAGCCAGAATAATTATTTTTCAAAAAATAATCTTATCTCAGCCCCTACCTCTAATCTCAAACTTTTAGTTATTCTCCACTGATTGTGTAATAAAGGCAAGCTTTCTTCTAAGCCCCGCATGATCGAACCCTGTCTGCTTCTTGTATAGCACTCTTTGTGATCCGATTTTCATGGCCTTGTTTTAGTTGCTCAAAGGTACCATGGGCCCTTCATACACAGAGATTTGAAGATACTCTCGCCTGCCCACTGTGTGAATCAGTCTTCAAATTTTGGCTCACTGGTTACGTCACCAAAACTTGCCATGACTGATTAATAAGTAGTGTTCCCTTATTAGAAGCACTTTTAATATCATGTGTCTCTCCTTCGCAGCAATTAGCTTGTAACAATGCATGTATCTGAATGATTATTTTATAAATATGGCTCTTCTTTGAATTCTAAGTTCAAGAAGCTCCATGAACTCAGGACATTACCTACATTCACTTATTATTGTACCCTCAGACTCAACAAAATGTCTAGCAGGTGATTAATTAACAAAATATCTAGTAGGTGATTAATAAATATTTATTGAATACACATCTTCAGATTATTTAAAAACCTGTCAATCAGAAAGAGAAGCATTGAAGCACCCATTAGAAAGATGAACAAAATATATCGACAGAAAAAAAACAATAAAATTGATTGATAAATATATAAAAATATAGTCTTTCAAATCACATATACAATAGATATAATGTGTATATGCAAAAACTAAGAAACTTCTATTCATACCTCAGTGTTAACAGTGGCATTTCCAGGTGTTGCTGTTACAGATCTTTTTATTTTCTTTCATTTACTTTTCCATATTTTCTCATGTGATTATGATGAACTTCTATTAATGTTGTTTTTTTTTAAATTACTTTTGACTGCAAGGTGAAAAAAATGATTCAAACTAACTTAAACCATAAGGATATTTATCATCTCACATAACAAGACGCTCAGAAATAAGGAAGTTTCCTAGGCTGATAGATTCATTAACTCAGTGTTGTCATCAAGAACCGAGGTTTTTAAAATTCCTCTGTGTCATCTTTCATCTGTCGGCTTTTCCTTACTTTGGCCCTCAGGGTCCAGGGTTGACAGCATCAAGTGAATCATTGTCCTTCTTTTTCACATCTTTTGAAAGAGATGGAGAAACCTCTCCCCCAATCATGGACTATAATTGGGCAAACTTAGCTCAAATGCCCACTTCTGCACCAGTAACATCACCAGGGCAATGCCATGCATTTATTGGTTTAGATAAATCAGGCTCTGGTGGCTCAGTCAGTTTCCTCTCAGTTACACTGGGAACACATGTTTACATGAACAAAATTTGAGTTCTGTAACAGAAAAGAAAGGTGAGAAATAGATACCAGATAGGCAACTAATAAGATCTGCATTACGCTTTATTGACATACATAAAAATGTTTAAAAAATAAAACAGAGAAGCAGGCAAAACATGGTCAAATAACTCTAAGCACAGAAATAATGTCTTATGCACATTTCAACTTTTCATAATTTACATATTAAGGGAATACATCATTTACATATTAAGGGAATACATATTAAGGGTAAATTTTATCTCAGTCCCAATGATAAATATCAACTTTTTGTCTTCCTAGATTAACACACTCATCCTGGGTAAAGAAAAAAAATTACATTTTAAAGTATACTGTTCTGCTCTGTATGCTAAACATTTAATTCAGCCCAGATATCTATGCAGATCTACAAAAAATAAAAAATAAAGTGGAATGCTGAAAGAAGCATCCAGTTGGTTCAATAGCATGGTGCAAATAACCTAGTTAAATGCACCCAACCTACTTTCACAGCTGCACATGATAAAATTGAGGCTTCTGCAAAGATTGTAAACTTGTGTCCACTTGTTTCTAGTACACAAAGGACAGATTTTCTGACTTGATAAAATTAATACAATGGACAAGTAGCAGCATCTCTAGCATATTCATATTGCAGCTACCCATTAAATCCTCAGGAATTAGGCTTTTAGAGGGCAACGGAAGTCCAAGAAGTGTACTTTGGAATTCTAGTGTACTATAAAATTATGGATTTCCTTCATATTTAGTGACATAGATTCCTAAAATATAGATCAGGTTGAAAGACAGACATACAAATAGTTCTTTTTTATAAAATTTGCATAGTTGCTTGTGTGGGTAGTTTAATTATTTGCACAATATAATAGTTCTGAATATCTTGTCACTGAAAATTTTGATAGCTAATATGAATAGTTTCCACCTTTTACATTTATATATTGCAATTACATGAAGGAATACTGTTCTCAAGTATAACTGAGATTCTAGTTGGATCAACATACCTTGGATTTTCTTATAACTGCTGTAGGAAGAAAGAAATATTACTTTTGACCCTCTTCTCAGGAGTTTCTCCATGTAAACTTTGATTCTCAACAGATTTCTCAAGGAAACTGTAAATTACAACAAATCCCTAGCTTTGGATATGCTCTCAGGGCATCTAACCCCCTCAAGGTCCTTGAAGTTGCAGATAGACACATTCAGACACTGTTTCTACTTCAAGCTTCAGCAGTAAGCAGGAGGAAAGATGTGTTCATTTGTGAGGACACATAGTTCAACAGGGATTTTACTTCTTGGGTATCATTTGAACAGTGGTATTTACTTGCTCAAGCCAATCCGATTGGCAGAGTAGGGAGCCAGCGTCCATGTGCCACTTCTTAGGTTGCCCTGAAAAGATTCTCTCCACATAGGAGTTATTGCATGAGGAATGAAAAGAAAAATAAAAACTTTGTTTGATCTTTGTTTTGGAGTGAACTGACTTTCTATTCATATTACAAAAGCATAAGTAAACATGGAAAACTACAAATATATATATATCCATCATATCCACATAATTTTAATAAATCCAGGCAAAGAATAAATAGATCCTGTCAAGTTGTAGGAATTTGTCTTTGTATATTATATATGATGTATTAATGAACAGTTTTATAAATATTCTGATGAAGGAGTTACTATAGTATATGACATATTTTAGGCATAAGATTATTGTCAGTAAAGTGACTATTTGTCATTCCCTAATATGATTTCAGTCCTTTTCAAATAGTTCCTGTTGTCCTTATAAAGTCATAAGTCAAAGTACAGTTAAGAATAGAAATGTTAAGTCATGAAATGAATTGATCCAAAAATATTAATCGATGGTGTTACAGTGCCTAATTTAAAATAAGCAGTATTTCTTACAAAGCAGGATTCTATGGAGAATCAAAGGGAGCTTACAATATGAGTCCCCTTTCAAAGAATTGAATATGTCACTGTTAGTAGACAAGGCACTCATAAATGAATTATAACATAAATGAATTATAGTGAGTAGTGATGATTTTCAGTATTTTGTTACACGCAAAATAACTGATTCCAAGTGTAGATATAGAAATTTACAATGTGGGAAAGATTGGAAAATTTTTTTCTGAAAGAGGTAGAATTATAGAGGTCTAACAGCTATGATAACAGATTATTAGGAACATACTACAACCTCTAATATAGAACATATAGCCACCCAGAATAAAAGATTACATTTCCCAGCCTACCTTCCTGCAAGATGTGGTCATATGACTAAGTTTTGGCCAATCAAATGTAAGATGAACTTGAAAATTATAGAACTTCTATGAAGGTTGCTTCATAAGACATAATTTTTCTGGAAGAGAAACCCTTTTTCCTTTTGCTTTCTCCCTCTGTGGGCCTGAAATTTAAATATTATGACACTAAGATGGCCATCATTCTACGAACAGAAACAGAATCAATGATGGCTTCTTTTGTATAAGATAGTAATCAACTTCTATCTTGTTTACATTACCACCATTAAAAAATACAGCTAAACCTACAATAGAGACACATGACAATAGGGAAGGTAAGAGCTCTTGCCTGGGACTAAAATAAGTTGTTTTCTTTGAAGTGGTTGCTTTAGGAAGAATATGAAAGAGATTACATCTGCTATCAGAGAGAGCAGATTCATCTTCTAGAGAAGAAAAATATGCTGAGCAAGAATATTGTTTCTTTTCTTGATATCTTTTCCTAAGATAATCTTGAAGGTGCAATAAATTTGATTGACTTGGGTTCTTTTGCAATGATAAGACAGAGGCTACTTTCATATGTGTCAGTTTTGCTGTGAAACAGAGGTCAGCTGGGCTTAAAGAATTTTCATTGTTATATATTTTGTCCCAAATATATTCCAAAAATCAAGAAATAGCTTTGAATTGAATTTTTCTTAATAAAATATGAACATATAAAGGCACAGAGGTGAAAAACAACATATTCAAAGTATTTGACCAACAGAAATGACAACGCAGGTTTCTTTAAGAGCTTAATAAAGAAAAGGCATACTAGAAAACAATTTGTATCATCTTTCAACTATTTATACAATATAGTTTCTCTTAGGCAGGGAGTCTTAAGCAAACAACAAAATAGAAGAATTTGGGGATTTTTTAAAATTTGCTTTTTGGAATAAATGTTCCCTAAATGTTTAAGAACCACAATTACTAAATTATGTTTTCAATGTTCAAAGAGTTCACATTATCTTCAAAGTAGTCACTAAATTAAAATAAAATTACTATGTGTATAACTTCAGAAATTATTATGTTTTCTTGCTTTTTGTCTTCATTCCATTATATATCTATATTACGTATGTAAATATTGTAAATACGTATATGCAAAATTTTCTGTAATAGAAGGAAATAAAAACAACTATGTACTTATAAATATATAAACAAACATGGAAGATTTTACACTCCTTGGATGGACAGAAACACAAATTTCAAAGGCACTGGTAAAACCAGAAAAGAATTAGATAAATTACAGACACAGTTTGCCTCCCTTACCTTTTATAATTTTCTATCTGCATGTTGAAAGATAAAATGCAGAAACATTTTCAAGGATTATCTTAAAATCCTTTCCAAATGCCACTTCTTCTTGCCTAGATTAAAGCTACATTTCTAAATTAACACAGTCCCTTGCTTAGATTTAATTTGGACACTTTCACTTTTTAAGGCGCTCTTCTGGACACTGGCTTAGGAGCCAGACATTTTAGACAAACAGTTGACTCCTGTTGGGAAAACAGTTGGCAGGAGGGATCCCTCCCCCTAGAGTTTTGAGTATGAGGGTCTGTCAGTGTCAAATCTAATTGTTCTCAGGGTTTCCCACGATTGATGGAGATGAAGCCAACAAGTCCACAATATATCTCATCATTATAGCTCTCTCACTGTGGGGTTGATTGGTGCACCTGCCCATGTCTGACCTACTCTACTTGCGGAGTAGAGCTGCCTTTAGCCCCAAACATAGGTTCACCTATCATTTAGATGAAACATAGATTGGTTACAAAATTCATGAAGAAACCAATACAACCAATTTAAATATGATACAGGCAAAAGAAAAACTGATCTCTCTATGTGAACGATAATATGGGTGTGTATTTAAACATAAAATAGATGGGCATAAGTATATACTAACCACAAACTATAGGAATAAAGACTTAGATCTAATAGCACATCGTGGAGAGGTAAAGCATACACACTGAGAAAAACTGCAGCTCTGATGACTGCAGAGTTTAAGTGTCAACAAATTATAGCCTAAGAAGTTCATGGAGATCATTTTATGTAGTATGAAATAAGAATGATAATCACAAACCTCATTCTGTGTTCCTGGTGCTATGCTGCTTCTGACACAGTGATCCCTTTGAAAGGGAACTGTATGGAGAGGAGTACGCTTATGTGAGTTAACCAGTATAGCTATAGAGGTCATTTTCTTTTAGCAGAGAAATAATTGCCTATGAGGATTATATCTTAAAATGTTCGGATAAGTCATAGTATAGCAAGTGCAAGCACAAATATATGTGCATGCATGTGTGCATGTGTGTATGTGTAGTGTGTGGAAAACTACAAAATTAGTAATTTATCTCAAGACCTGGAAGCATGTAATTATTGGTGGCAAATATGTATAGACATAAGTATTTTACTATAAATATGAGTTCTAAATTTATAACACATTTTCAGACTACAAATCCAGAATGAACAAGAGTCTTATAATTGTTTTCTGTTTTTGGCTTGGAATCTTGATTTTAGCATCAACAATTAATCAACATAACTTAACATGGTCAATTGGCTTCCCATCCCAAAGGCCATTATATAGGATGGCAGTACGTTTCCTCTTAGAGATCATGCCAGTTTCACTGTGGAGCAGATGGCAAGTCAACTGGGTTTAGGTGGGTAGTCTAGATTATGCCATATTAAGTGACATCTTCCAGCAGGATGTCAATTTCACCAGACGCTGGTGCCACCTTGACACACCACTAAACTATCTGCTGCTTTCCATCAGACCTGTTGCCACATGAAAATAGAGAACACGTGAAAATAGAGAATCTCGGGCAGTCATTGGAATATTCTAACAGTGTACTCCTAGAGATTTATTACAAAAACACTCCAGGCTCCAGGTGAATTTCTGCCCTTTAACTGTTCAGGGGAGTGAGTATAATTTCATTCCACACTCTAGAAGAACTACTAGGTTGGCAGACTTGTATGTGTCTTCTCTATAGCATCAGACATTTAACCCACAACTTTTGTCTGGTTGAAAAAACAGTGATACTGTATTTTCTTCATCCCATGAAGTATAGTTGCCTAGAATAATTGAAAATCAGCACTTTCACAGTAAAAAAGATTTTTAAAAGTATAAAATTCCTCCTCACTATTATATTCTTCCCAAATGAAAGCATGTCTGATGCCCTATTTAGTTTAAACTCAGGCTAGGTTTGACCTGAATTCCTATAGTCTTAGCCCTAGCTTGGAGCAGAAATAATTTCCTCTTATACTTTCCTAGAGCTCTGACTTTTATTTGACTTTAGCTGAGCACTGCCATTTTTATACCAGAACGTGAACCCTCACTGGTATTCATTTCCCCTGAATTGGAAAAGTGTTTCAACCAACAATTCCAGTAGGTATCATGTAACTGGCACAGCCATGGCAGAAACAACACTGCGTTCTGCCAACATTCCATTTCGTCTTTTCTGGGCAGCTTTATTATTGTGCATATGTTTATGGGCATGGATCTTCTTGTCTAAAGATTACACTACAAAAAAGAGGTCTCTGCCTCTGAAATGAGGACTAAAGCTTTAGAATGTGGTGTCTTTGATAGCAAAAATTGTTGCTAGGCAATTTACATCCTAGAGCATTAGTACCTACCTTTCTGCCAGATTGTAATCAGTTTTAAAATGGTCTCTATTTTACTGAAAGAAATATGCAGATTACCTTTCATCAGTATCTTTTAAGATTATTTGAATGCTTAGCTATTTATTTCTTGAATAAAATAGGAGTTTCTCTGGTGCCTTTGCTTAATTTTTTGTGGTATCCTTAAGGAATGATTGTGACCTTTCAACTTCAGTCTACGTGCCTGAGTTCATATAATGAATTATCAACATTTATAGTATGAGAAGAACCAAGCATTTTCCACTGGCATCTTTGGCTTTGGGTTTAGCTTTAAAGCTCATGTCATAGACACCTGTCATGAGGAGCCGCCAGTATATTTTGTTCAAAGTTGAGTTTTGTAGAGCCTTGGTTTGTGGCTAGGGCAGATGATAAGAAGTGATAAGCAAAATTTCAGTGGATCTGTATCTCACCCAGGATTGCCATGTGAACTCAGATAACATGTTCCATGTGTCTGTGGTTTGGGAACATTTCACTCAAATTGATCTGTCTTTATGAACAGGGCACAGTAAAGCACCCATGCTGAAATAAAGATGGTCACTTTGGTTTACGTGTTTTCTGACACACCTTCTTTTTACCCTCTACTCCCAGCCCAAGGCTCAAAGTCAATTTGTTTCTCTGTTTCTTTATTTGGTTAAGGGAAATTTAAGGAAACTACTCAAGGCAGACCTGCAGGCACTGTACCAGGTACTCTGTCTATATGTTCTTATTTCATTCTCACACCATGTAAAATAGGTATTATTAGCTTAGTTTTATAGAAAACAAAAGCCAAGAGAGTTTAGGTAACTCTTCAAGACACAAGTAAGAGCTAAGGGCCAAGATTTGAACCCAGGTCTAAATGACTTCAGAACTCATGCTTTTTTCTACCATCAATGACGGCAAAAAAAATTTTTCAACTTTTGATGTCATATCTAATTGATTGGCAATGGCTTCCAGGAAGTTTGTCTTTAAAAAGATTCTGAAGTCAAGTTACGGCCTAAGAGGGGAAAGTACTAGGATCTGTTAGTGACACCTGAGCAAGTTGGAAAAGGAACTTTTTTTTTTATACTTTAAGTTCTAGCGTACATGTGCACAATGTGCAGGTTTCTTACATATGTATACATGTGCCATGTTGGTGTGCTGCACACATTAACTCGTCATTTACATTAGGTATATCTCCTAATGCTATCCCTCCCCCCTCCCCCCACCCCATGACAGGCCCCGGTGTGTGATGTTCTCCTTCCTGTGTCCAAGTGTTCTCATTGTTCAATTCCCACCTGTGAGTGAGAACATGCAGTGTTTGGTTTTCTTGTCATTGCGATAGTTTGCTGAGAATGATGGTTTCCAGCTTCATCCGTGTCCCTACAAAGGACATGAACTCATCATTTTTTATGGCTGCATAGTATTCCATGGTGTATATGTGCCACATTTTCTTAATCCAGTCTATCACTGATGGACTTTTGGGTTGGTTCCCAGTCTTTGCTATTGTGAATAGTGCCACAATAAACATACGTGTGCATGTGTCTTTATAGCAGCATGATTTATAATCCTTTGGGTATATACCCAGTAATGGGATGGCTGGGTCAAATGGTATTTCTAGTTCTAGATCCTTGAGGAATCACCACACTGTCTTCCACAATGGTTGAACTAGCTTACAGTCCCATCAACAGTGTAAAAGTGTTCCTATTTCTCCACATCCTCCCCAGCACCTGTTGTTTCCTGACTTTTTAATGATCACCATTCTAACTGGTGTGAGATGGTATCTCATTGTTGTTTTGATTTGCATTTCTCTGATGGCCAGTGATGATGAGCATTTTTTCATGTGTCTGTTGGCTGCATAAATATCTTCTTTTGAGAAGTGTCTGTTCATATCCTTCGCCCACTTTTTGATGGGGATGTTTGTTTTTTCTTGTAAATTTGCTTGAGTTCTTTGTAGATTCTGGACATTAGCCCTTTGTCAGATGAGTAGATTGCAAAAATTTTCTCCCATTCTGTAGGTTGCCTTTTCACTCTGATGGTAGTTTCTTTTGCAGTGCTGAAGCTCTTTAGTTTAATTAGATCCCATTTGTCAATTTTGGCTTTTGTTGCCATTGCTTTTCTGTTTTAGACATGAAGTCCTTGCCCATGCCTATGTCCTGAATGGTATTGCCTAGGTTTTCTCCTAGGGTTTTTATGGTTTTAGGTCTAACACTTAAGTCTTTAATCCATCTAGAATTAATTTTTGCATAAGGTGTAAGGAAGGGATCCAGTTTCAGCTTTCTACATATGGCTAGCCAGTTTTCCCAGCACCATTTATTAAATAGGTAATCCTTTCCCCATTTCTTGTTTTTGTCAGGTTTGTCAAAGATCAGTTGGTTGTAGACGTGTGGTATTATTTCTGAGGGCTCTGTTCACAAAGCTCAACAGAGAATGACTTTGACAAGTTGAGAGAAGAAAGCTTCAGATGATAAAACTTCTCCAAGCTAAAGGAGGAAGTTCGAACCCATCGCAAAGAAGCTAAAAACCTTGAAAAAAGATTAGATGACTGGCTAACTCAAATAAGCAGTGTAGAGAAGTCCTTAAAGGACCTGATGGAGCTGAAAACCATGGCATGAGAACTACGTGATGAATGCACAAGCTTCAGTAGCCGATTCGATCAACTGGAAGAAACGGTATCAGTGATCAAAGATCAAATGAATGAAATGAAGTGAGAAGAGAAGTTTATAGAAAAAAGAATAAAAAGAAATGAACAAAGCCTCCAAGAAATATGGGACTATGTGAAAAGACCAAATCTATGTCTCATTGGTGTACCTGAAAGTGACAGGGACAGTGGAACCAAGTTGGAAAACACTCTGCAGGATATCATCCAGGAGAACTTCCCCAGCCTAGCAAGGCAGGCCAACATTCAAATTCAGGAAATACAGAGAACGCCACAAAGATACTCCTCAAGAAGAGCAACTCCAAGAAACATAATTGTCAGATTCACCAAAGTTGAAATGAAAGAAAAAATGTTAAGGGCAGCCAGAGAGAAAGGTCAGGTTACCCACAAAGGGAAGCCCATCAGACTAACAGTGGATCTCTTGGCAGAAATTCTACAAGCCAGAAGAGAGAGGAGGCCAATATTCAACAATTTTAAAGAAAAGAATTTTCAACCCAGAATTTCATATCCAGCCAAACTAAGCTTCATAAGTGAAGGAGAAATAAAATCCTTTATATATCAGCAAATGCTGAGAGATTCTGTCACCACCAGGCCTGCCCTAAAAGAGCTCCTGAAGGAAGCACTAAACATGGAAAGGAACAACCAGTACCAACCACTGCAAAAACATGCCAAACTGTAAAGACCATCGAGGCTAGGAAGAAACTGCATCAACTAACGAGTAAAATAACCAGCTAACATCAAAATGAAAGGATCAAATTCACACATAACAACATAACCTTAAATGTAAAGGGGCTAAATGCTCTAATTAAAAGACACAGACTGGCAAATTGGATAGAGTCAAGACCCATCAGTGTGCTGTATTCAGGAGACCCATCTCACGTGCAGAGACACACATAGGCTCAAAATAAAGGGATAGAGGAAGATCTACCAAGCAAATGGAAAACAAAAAAAGGCAGGGGTTGCAATCCTAGTCTCTGATAATACAGACTTTAAACCAACAAAGATCAAAAGAGACACAGAAGGCCATTACATAATGGTAAAGGGATCAATTCAACAAGAAGAGCTAACTATCCTAAATATATATGCGCCCAATACAGGAGCACCCAGATTCATAAAGCAAGTCCTTAGAGACCTATGAAGAGACTTAGACTCCCACACAATAATAATGGGAGACTTTAACACCCCACTGTCAACATTAGATATATCAACGAGACAGAAAGTTAACAAGGATATCCAGGAATTGAACTCAGCTCTGCACCAAGCGGACCTAATACACATCTACAGAACTCTCCACCCCAAATCAACAGAATATACTTTCTTCTCAGCACCACATCGCACTTATTCCAAAATTGACCACATAGTTGGAAGTAAAGCTCTCCTCAGCAAATATAAACGAACAGAAATTATAACAAACTGTCTCTCAGACCACAGTGCAATCAAACTAGAACTCAGGATTAAGAAACTCACTCAAAACCACTCAACTACATCGAAACTGAACAACCTGCTCTTGAATGACTACTGGGTACATAATGAAATGAAGGCAGAAATAAAGATGTTCTTTGAAACCGATGAGAACAAAGACACAACATACCAGAATCTCTGGGACACATTTAAAGCAGTGTGTAGAGGGAAATTTATAGCACTAAATGCCCACAAGAGGAAGCAGGAAAGATCTAAAATTGACACCCTAACATCACGATTAAAAGAACTAGAGAAACAAGAGCAAACACATTCAAAAGCTAGTAGAAGGCAAGAAATAACTAAGATCAGAGCAGAACTGAAGGAGATAGAGACACAAAAAACCCTTCAAAATTCAATGCATCTGGGAGCTGGTTTTTTGAAAAGATCAACAAAATTGATAGACTGCTAGCAAGACTAATAAAGAAGAAAAGAGAGAAGAATCAAATAGGCACAATAAAAAATGATAAAGGGGATATCACAACCAATCCCACAGAAATACAAACTACCATCAGAGAATACTATAAACACCTCTACGCAAATAACTAGAAAATCTAGAAGAAACGGATAAATTCCTGGACACATACACCCTCCCAAGACTAAACCAGGAAGAAGCTGAATCTCTGAATAGACCAATAACAGACTCTGAAACTGAGGCTATAATTAATAGCCTACCAACCAAAAAAGTCCAGGACCAGACAGATTCACAGCCGAATTCTACCACAGGTACAAGGAGGAGATGGTACCATTCCTTCTGAAACTATTCCAATCAGTGGAAAAAGAGGGAATCCTCCCTAACTCATTTTATGAGGCTAGCATCATCCTGATACCAAAGTCTGGCAGTGACACAACAAAAAAAGAGAATTGTAGACCAATATCCCTGATGAACATCAATGCAAAAATCCTCAATAAATACTGGCCAATTGAATCCAGCAGCACATCAAAAAGCTTATCCACATGATCAAGTGGACTTCATCCCTGGGATGCAAGGCTGGTTCAACATATGCAAATCAATAAACGTAATCCAGCATATAAACAGAACCAAAGACAAAAACCACATGGTTATCTCAATAGATGCAGAAAAGGCCTTTGACAAAATTCAACAGTGCTTCATGTTAAAAACTCTCAATAAATTAGGTATTGATGGGACATATCTCAAAATAATAAGAGCTATTTATGACAAACCCACAGCCAATATCACACTGAATGGGCAAAAACTGGAAGCATTCCCTTTGAAAACTGGCACAAGACAGGGATCACCTCTCTCACCACTCCTATTCAACATAGTGTTGGAAGTTCTGGCCAGGACAATCAGGCAGGAGAAAGAAATAAAGGGTATTCAATTAGGAAAAGAGGAAGTCAAATTGTCCCTATTTGCAGGTGACATGATTGCATATTTAGACAAACCCATCGTCTCAGCCCAAAATCTCCTTAAGCTGATAAGCAAATTCAGCAAAGTCTCAGGATACAAAATCAATGTGCAAAAATCACAAGCACTCTTATACACCAATAACAGAAAGTGAAATTTTATGATGGGTGCTGTGTTGCTTACATGAAACCATTTGATCTCCCAATACAAAGCCTGTTCTCCAAACAACAGATTGGAAAACAGGGTTTTATATTTCTTCATGTTGCCACTCACAGATTAAGTGATGTTCTAGTAGGTTCTGCTGTAATGCTTGCTTTGAAAACACAAGTTTGTTCCAATAAGATTGCTATGTTAACAAACAATGTGAGCATGATATACATTTCATATTTGCTCATCCACAATTTCATCAGTGAAGAAAAGGTAGGTGATGGCAGAAAGCTGCACTGTCCTGAACCAAGGCACATAGCCATATATATGCACATGTAGATACAGGGCCAGGTACTGTGTCTCACACTTATAATTCTAGCACTTTGGGAACCAAGACAGGAGGTTCACTTGGGCCCAGGAGTACAAGACGAGCCCAGGCTACATAGCGAGGCCCCGTATCTGCAAAAAAAACCAAAATTTACCCAGGTGTGGTGGTGTGCACTCTTATTCCCAGATAGTCAAGAGGCTAAGGTGAGAGGGTTACTTGAGCCTGGAAGGTTGAGGCCACAGTGAGCTAAGGTTGCACCACTCCACTCCAGCCTGGGTGAAAGAGTGAGACCCTGTCTCAAAAAGTAAAAAAATAAAAAATAAAATGCATAAGAGTTCACACCTCAAACATTGACCCATTATCTCAATTCACCGAGTGTGTTAGGAGCCACATCTGTCCATATCTGGCATTACAAATTTCCATCTGATTTCAAACATCCTCCCTTCACCATGTCACGATAATTCTCAAGCTACAGTGCTTCTGAGGTCCATTTCCAGGTAAACTTCAGATCTATCAACACGAATTGTCATATTTAACTATTTATCTATTTGTTTGCCATTTAAAATCTGTAAACTATTCCACCATTTTATTAGATTTCTATATATTTTTGTATGTATCACTGAAGAGGATTTTGAGTGTTTTGTCTCTAACCTCATTTTTCCTATAAGCACTGAGATCTTGATTATGTGATTTTTTACAGTGATTTTTAGGAATGCATATGTCTCAGTATATAGCGGCACTTACTGCAAAGTGCTAAGATAAGACTTTGCTAAACATGCGTTTAAAAAAATACACCTGGAAAGAATACAATTGATCCAGCAGCAAACCAATGGTGGGGCAACAGGAACAATCCCCCTGGTGTAGAGGCAATAAAGAGAAGCACGTCAGCCTACTTTTCATCATCACCACGCACCAGTGACTCTAAAGAATGTGGGTAAATTACTCCTCCATGAAAAAAAAAAAACTTTTGATAATCTAAATTTTAAACAATTGCTACAGTTACTGTTGAGTTTTACTAATCTACAAATAAGATTAACATGAGCACATTTTTACTGTGTATCCTTTAATAAATATTATTTTCTACATTAAAGTGATTTCAGGCAAATTCCATTTATACGGTTGCCACTGATACATGTGAACTCAACTATACATATTCATATCAGGTGTAAATTCATAGCAGCTCAGGATTTTTCAAGCTCACTCTTGGTGCTGTTCATTTCTCTAATGCCTGTGAAAACCCTGTGTTTATTTAGACTAGAAATATATATATATATATATTCTTATATTCAGTTTGTTAGATTAGAAATAAACAAATAAAATACAGTGATTTTACAAAGAAATAGAACTGAATTTTTTTCAATTCTGTTCATTTATGATTTCAGTGTATACCAGTGAGACAAAGGATAAATTATAAAACATAACAACTGGCCAGGAGCGGTGGATCACGCCTGTAATCCCAGCACTTTGGGAGGCCAAGGCGGCCAGATCACAAGGTCAGGAGTTCAAGACCAGGCTGGCCAATACGGTGAAACCTGTCTCTACTAAAAATACAAAAATTAGCCGGGCACGGTGGCAGGCGCCTGTAATCCCAGCTACTCAGCAGGCTGATGGAGGAGAACTGCTTGAACCCAGGTGGAAGAGGTTGCAGTGAGCAGAGATCGCTCCACTGCACTCCAGCCTGGGCAACAGAATGAGACTCCATCTCAAAATAATAATAATAATAATAAAATATTTGTAATTGGTATGATAGGCAGAATAATGACCTCCGACAAAATATCTATGCCCCAATCCCTGTAATGTGTGAAAATATCATTTTACAGGGAAAAAAATAGACTTTGAAGATGTGCTTAAATTAAGGGTCTTGTGATGGAAACGTTGTCTGGATTATCCAGGTGTGCCCAATGTAATCACAAGGGTCTCTGTAAGTGGAAAAAAAAAAAAAGAAAGAAAAAGAAGTCAGGAGAGTGAGAGGAGCTGTAATAAGGAAAGCAGAGGTTGGAGTGGTGTGATTGCTGGATTTGAAGAAGGAAGGAGCGCAGCCTTTAGAAGCAGGAAAAGATAAGGAAGGGGATTCTCCTCTGGAGGCTCCAGAAAGAACATAGCCCTGCCCAACAGCTTGGTTTAGCTTCATTAAACCCATTTTGCACTTCTGGTCTCCAGAAGCGTAAGATAATAAATTTGTGTTGTTTCACATTGCTAAGAGTGTGGTAACTTGTTACAGCAGCAACAGGAAACTAATACAATTGGTTAAGTGCAGTTTCTGTTCACACACAAAATATTTTAATAAATTTAAATAGCTTTACAATTGCAAGTAATTCTCTTTCTAAATTGGTTTATTAAGAACAAATCAACAGAAAGATTATTACTAAATATAACA
The DNA here is from genome assembly GCF_000001405.40 of Homo sapiens. NCBI lineage: Eukaryota > Metazoa > Chordata > Mammalia > Primates > Hominidae > Homo > Homo sapiens. The sequence continues at coordinate 97,278,213 of NC_000004.12, forward strand.
TGATACCCCCTAAAATAATTATTGTCACCAATAAGAGTGCTAAAAGGAAGATGTCAAGTATGCTTGTATGCTTGGTACCTCACAGCACTGGTGCTAATGTTCAAGAATTCTGTTGGCGTTAAATAAAGGCACACCTGAGCTCTTCCCTATTCCATTACATTTATATGCTATCTTCTCTGATTTATGAATTTCCCACCTTTGCTCCCTCCATTATCTTCTCCATTTAGAACTCTAACTGGTTTAAAGACAATTTTAAAAAAATGGTATCAATACATTTATACTACAGGAGGAAAAATGAACAAAGATAAATTGCTTCCCTAACTTGAACAGTCCCTATCGTATCTTTGAGGGCAGAGAACAGGCTTTACTCAGGCTTCCTACCAGCACCTCAAACAGCATCTGGCATCTAATAGAATAATCAATAAAGCTTGATTAATAAATGAACAATAAAAAGAGAAGTTCTACATTTTGAATGTCCCTGCTCCCCAGATATCTCCTATACAACCCCAAGGTGTCTTTTAATATTCTGCTTCAAAGATAGATGTTTATCAAAATATTCCTAGGTACCCTCTGCCCAGATCTAAGTTCTTTGCCAAATTCTCACCATTTATTTGCACTACCATTAAGCTCTTAACATGGCCTGTCACATAGTAAAACAGTTACAAGTAATTTTATTTCCTCTACTAAATTAAAAGCTATTAATGGCTAAGGGCATGCAGTTTATTCAAATCTGTGGTCATAATAGAACCTATAGGATAATTTGCATATGTTATATAATCAATAAATCATTGTTCAAGTTGAAATTGCCATCTCATCAAAACCAACTTCATTCAGTCATGTTTGTAAAGGTATAAACATCTTTACAGATATTTTCAAACTCATACATGTAAGATCATACCTTCCCTCATTACCTGTACTTTTTTTAATAACATAGTGTATCAAATGAAAAAATTTCCCACAGGGAATTCATTCTTTGAGATTTCAATATATGTTATATATATTTGTCCATGGCCCAGGATATAAATCAGTTATTTTTCCTTTTCTTACCAAAACTGAACACTTTTAAGTTGTGTCTTTTTTATGTACATTTATTTTCAACACATTTTCAAAACATTTTAATCTCTGTAAATCCTCATTGGGCCCCTCATGTTGCATTACTGCATGTCATATTCTTAGTTCACCTACCTAAGTGGCCTATCAAGATTTATGGAGACTAAATGTAAAGACCTTAACAAAAGATTTAATGTAAAACTGCCATTGTAATTTAAAAGAGCACATTTCCCATAGTCTTTCTGGAAAACGAAAATAATCAGGGTGTCAACCTTATTTCTCCATGCACAAAGGAGGCAGACAGCTGGAAATACAGGCCATCAAACTGCCTAGATTTTATCTTGCTTTGCAGACACTCGAAGCTCAAAGCCAGTGCACTACTACCTGTTTGTGGCACTAACCTAGTTATATCAAAGGGCCCCAGAGAACTGGCAGTTTTCTGAAGCCTGATGAAAAAACATTCGCAGAACAATTGTTACAAATAATAGGATCTGGCTCTGGCTCTCCAATATTTCTGTCATCAATAACCCATACAGTGGAATCTTAGATAAACCAAGTCCAAACTGTCTTGCAACAAGTAAATGCTAAGTTTTTATGAAACAATGGGGTTTTTTAGGCTAACATAAAAAGAACATTTGAGAGAAATGAATTTGGCTGAAGGATACTGAGGAGAAGATTAAGTCTTTGCTCAGAGGAGGCTACTCTGTGAAGTATGAAAACTCAGTAAAATACAGAAAACATGTCATTAACAAATACAAAATCCATATATACATCTTGTCACAAAATTCAAAATCTATTTTAAATGCAAATGGTGGTTAAAGGTAGGTTTTCATAGATAGTAAGATTTTAAATATCTCAGATGATATTTGCAAACATTTTTTCCTGAAAAAATGTATGAGAAATATGAAATTTTCACACTTGAATTGTCTGTAAAAATCACAGTTCCTCACTGCTTTCTAGTAATCCAAATGAGAAGAGATGTAGTAACTCCAAGAGGCGATGGAGAGAGTGTGCTTTTAAAATATAGGTGGCGGCATGTGAAAAGGTGTGCAACATCATTTATCATCAGGGATATGCAAATCAAAACTACAAGGAGATATCACCTCACCCCAGTTAAAATGGCTTATATCCTAAAGACAAGCAATAACAAGTGCTGGCAAGGATGTGGAGAAAAGGGAACCCTCAGATACCATTGGTGGAAAGGTAAATTAGTACAACCACTATAGGGAACAGTTTGGAGGTTCCTCAAAAAAACTAAAAATTGAGCTATCATATGATCCAGCAATCCCACTGGGGGGAATATAGACAAAAGAAAGGAAATCAGTATATCAAAAAGATATCTGCAGTCCCGCGCTTGTTGCAGCACTGTTTACAATAGCTAAGATTTGGAAGCAACCTAAGTGACCATCAGTAGATGAGTGGATAAAGGAAATCTGCTACATATACACAATTGAGTACTATTCAGCCATAAAAAAGAATGAGATCCAGCCATTTGCAACAGCATGGATGGAAATGGAGATCATTATGTTAAGTAAGATAAGCCAGACACAGAAAGACAAATATTGTAAGTTTGCACTGATTTGTGGGATCTAATTATCAAAACAGTTGAACCTGTGGACATAAAGAGTAAAAGAATGGTTACCAGAAGCTGAGAAGGGTAGTGGGGGTCTGATGCTGGGGAGGTGGCGATGGTTAATGGGCACAAAAAAATAGTTTAAAGAAATAATAAGGCTTACTATTTGATAGCACAACAAGATCACTATAGTCAATAAAAATTGAACATTTAAAAATAACTTAAGAAGTATAATTACATTGTTTGTAACTCAAAGGATAAATGCTTGAGGTGACAGAAACACCATTCTCCATGATGTGCCTATTTCACTTGGCAGGCATGTATCAAAACATCTCATGCACCCCGTAAATATATACACTTACTGTGTACCAACGAAAATTAAAAATTAAATTAAATTTAAAATAATAAAAAAAATACATGGTGGTATGCTGGGTTGTAAGTATTAAGGAAATGCTTTCAATATTTTATTATTATTATTATTATTATTATTATTATTATACTTTAAGTTTTAGGGTACATGTGAACAATGTGCCAGTTAGTTACATATGTATACATGTGCCATGCTGGTGTGCTGCACCCATTAACTCGTCATCTAGCATTAGGTATATCTCCTAATGCTATCCCTACCCCCTCCCCCCACCCCACAACAGTCCCCAGAGTGTGATGTTCCGCTTCCTGTGTCCATGTGTTCTCATTGTTCAATTCCCATCTATGAGTGAGAACATGCAGTGTTTGGTTTTTTTGTCCTTGCAATAGTTTACTGAGAATGACGATTTCCAATTTCATCCATGTCCCTACAAAGGACATGAACTCATCATTTTTTATGGCTACATAGTATTCCATGGTGTATATGTGCCACATTTTCTTAATCCAGTCTATCATCGTTGGACATTTGGGTTGGTTCCAAGTCTTTGCTATTGTGAACAGTGCCGCAATAAACATACGTGTGCATGTGTCTTTATAGCAGCATGATTTATAGTCCTTTGGGTATATACCCAGTAATGGGATGGCTGGGTCAAATGATATTTCTAGTTCTAGGTCCCTGAGGAATCGCCACACTGACTTCCACAATAGTTGAACTACTTTACAGTCCCACCAACAGTGTAAAAGTGTTCCTATTTCTCCACATCCTCTCCAGCATCTGTTGTTTCCTGACTTTTTAATGATCACCATTCTAACTGGTGTGAGATGGTATCTCATTGTGGTTTTGATTTGCATTTCTCTGATGGCCAATGATGATGAGCATTTTTTCATGTGTCTTTTGGCTGCTTAAATGTCTTCTTTTGAGAAGTGTCTGTTCATATCCTTTGCCCACTTTTTGATGGGGTTGTTTGTTTTTTTCTTGTAAATTTGTTTGAGTTCTTTGTAGATTCTGGATATCAGCCCTTTGTCAGATGAGTAGGTTGCGAAAATTTTCTCCCATTCTGTAGGTTGCCTTTTCACTCTGACAGTAGTTTCTTTTGCTGTGCAGAAGCTCTTTAGTTTAATTAGATCCCATTTGTCAACTTTGGCTTTTGTTGCCATTGCTTTTTGACGTTAGACCTAAAACCATAAAAACCCTAGAAGAAAACCTAGGCATTACCATTCAGGACATAGGCATGGGCAAGGAAATGCTGTCAATATTAAGAAATGCTAATCAACCATTGGTAATTTGAAATTTACCACAGTGGAGGTATTAACACCTTAGAAATCAGCAAGCTCATCACGCTAAAAACTCTCAATAAACCAATAAACTAGGTATTGATGGGACATATCTCAAAATAATAAGAGCTATTTATGACAAACCCACAGCCAGTATCATACTGAATGGGCAAAAACCGGAAGCATTCCCTTTGAAAACTGGCACAAGACAGGGATCACCTCTCTCACCACTCCTATTTAACGTAGTGTTGGAAGTTCTGGCCAGGGCAATCAGGCAGGAGAAAGAAATAAAGGGTATTCAATTACAAAAAGAGGAAGTCAAATTGTCCCTGTTTGCAGATGACATGATTGTATATTTAGAAAACCTCATTATCTCAGCCCAAAATCTCCTGAAGCTGATAAGCAACTTCAGCAAAGTCTCAGGGTACAAAATCAATGTGCAAAAATCACAAGCATTCTTATATACCAATAACAGACAAACAGCCAAATCATGAGTGAACTCCCATTCACAATTGCTTCAAAGAGAATAAAATACCTAGGAATCCAAGTTAGAAGGGATGTGAAGGACCTCTTCAAGGAGAACTACAAACCACTGCTCAATGAAATAAAAGAAGACACAAACAAATGGAAGAACATTCCATGCTCACAGATAGGAAGAATCAATATTGTGAAAATGGCCATACTGTCCAAGGTAATTTATAGATTTAATGCCATCCCTATCAAGCTACCAATGACTTTCTTCACAGAATTGGAAAAAACTACTTTCAAGTTCATACGGAACCAAAAAAGAGCCCACATTGCCAAGACAATCCTAAGCCAAAAGAACAAAGCTGGAGGCATCATGCTACCTGACTTCAAACTATACTACAAGGCTACAGTAACCAAAACAGCATGGTACTGGTACCAAAACAGAGAGATAGACCAAGGGAACAGAACAGAGCCCTCAGAAACAATACCACACATTACAACCATCTGATCTTTGACAAATCTGACAAAAACAAGAAATGGGGAAAGGATTCCCTATTTAATAAATGATGCTCTTCTCAGTTTTCTAACAGGCTAGCCATATGTAGAAAGCTGAAACTGGATCCCTTCCTTACACCTTATACAAAAATTAATTCGAGATGGAATAAAGACTTAAATGTTAGACCTAAACCCATCAAAATCTTAGAAGAAAACCTAGGCAATACCATTCAGGACATAGGCATGGGCAAGGACTTCATGTCTGAAACACAAAAGCAATGGCAACAAAAGACAAAATTGACAAATGGGATCTAATTAAACTAAAGAGCTTCTGCACTGCAAAAGAAACTACCATCAGGGTGAACAGGAAACTTACAGAATGCGAGAAAATTTTTACAATCTACCCATCTAACAAAGGGCTAATATCCAGAATCTACAAAGAACTTAAACAAATTTACAAGACAAAAGTCAACCCCATCAAAAAGTGGGCAAAGGATATGAACAGACACTTCTCAAGAGAAGACATTTATGCAGCCAACAGACACATGAAAAAATGCTCATCATCACTGGCCATCAGAGAAATGCAAATCAAAACCACAATGAGATACCATCTCACACCAGTTAAAATGGCGATCATTAAAAAGTCAGGAAACAACAGATGCTGGAGAGGATGTGGAGAAATAGGAACACTTTTACACCGTTGTTGGGACTGTAAACTAGTTCAACCATTGTGGAAGACAGTATGGCAATTCCTCAAGGATCTAGAACTAGAAATACCATTTGACCCAGCCATCCCATTACTGGGTATATACCCAAAGGAATATAAATCATGCTACTATAAAGACACATGCACACGTACGTTTTTTGTGGCACTATCCACAATAGCAAAGACTTGGAACCAACCCAAATGTCCATCAATGATAGACTGGATTAAGAAAATGTGGCACATATACACCATGGAATACTATGCAGCCATAAAAAAGGATGACTTCATGTCCTTTGTAGGGACATGGATGAAGCTGGAAACCATCATTCTTAGCAAACTGTTGCAAGGACAGAAAACCAAACACCACATGTTCTCACTCATAGGTGGGAACTGAACAGTGAGAACACTTGGACACAGGGTGGGGAACATCACACACTGGAGCCTGTCATGGGGTGGGGGCGGGGGGAGGGATAGCATTAGGAGGAATACTTAATGTAAATGACGAGTTAATGTGTGCAGCACACCAACATGGCACATGTATACATATGTAGCAAACCTGCACGTTGTGCACATGTATCCTAGAACTTAAAGTATAATAAAAAATGAAAAAAAATTAAAAAATAAAAAGTAAATCTAATAAAGTGTCAATAAAAAAAAAAAGAAATCAGCAAGCTCTAAATTAGGATGCCTCTTTCCACCTCCCCCTGACTGGTTTGTAAGCACAACACTAAAACTAGGAAAAACCTATTCAGTAACTGGTTTTGTTTGTTCATTAAATCTATGTGGAATGATAAAATATTTTTTCATTTTTCATCTTTCATTAAGATTATTATGTAATTATATACAAAAACAACTGGTAATGTTATTCTAAGTAAATTCAGGGATTCTACATTGTATAGATTAAATTTGTACAAAAATAAAACTGCTTTTAAATTGGATTTTACCATAACATGATGAATTATCATTAAATAGAAAGTTTGGGGACTGATGTTTATTTTTCCCTAGAAATTATATTACTGTAGGAATAGAAACACATGTGAACAAGGAATGTGAAAGTACTTGAGGTTTTTAAGGAGCCAGCACTTAAATGGCATCATTCATATCAAAAACTAGGGTTTGAATGTCTAACCAGAGCAGTAGGCATGGTTTTGGAATTTGGAAAAAATATCCTTACATATGGCTTAATATTTTAAAATTAAATAATTCTTATTCATGCATAATTATTTTGCATACTTTAATTTATGGAACATGATTTAGCTTAGTGTGAGTTGCTTCATACTCTTGGAAGAAAAATGTATATAGTTTAATAATTTAGATTGGCTTCTACTTAGCTCTCATTGCAGAGGTTTTACTGCACAGGATAATCGTTATTTTGTAATGGCTATCATGTTGTTTAGTGTGCCTGTGTTTTATCTCCTTAGCTAGTTTCTAAGGACCTCATCTTCAAGAAGTATATTTTCTAATTTCTGTCTAAAAGACCTGCACGTACTACTACTGGCTGTAAGGTTACAATGAATGCTTAATTGATGTCAGATAATTGGATAGGTACTTCTAAGAAAGTTACTAGTATTCTCAAGCGGAAAAAAATATTGTTTTATGAATCTTTACTTGAGTTGAAAACTTAGTTTTAAAAGCAATATTGTTAAGAAAAATGTGTTTTATTATTGTATTATATGTAAGCATAAAAATGTACTCTCCTTGATACCTATCTTTCTCATTTTACTTGGCAGTTCCCTTAAAGCAAGGCTGATATTTTGTCTTTTTGACAACTTTGTATGCCAATCACCTAGAATGGTGCTTTGCAATATTTGATTATCAGCAAACATTAATTAAATGACATATTATCCCTCTCCTAATAGCTACACTAGGAAAAAGAGCTCAGATGTCTAAGTTAATAAGTGTCAGTTTCTTGTGTTCTCAATTGAAGTTTCTAGTTGCTTAGTAATAGATTGGAAAAATGCTAATAATATTTGTAAGATTATTTCATATTGAGCTAGTTCTTTTCTAGCTTTAATTAGTTGTTGATTCTGTTGGGCTATGCAGATAATCATATCATCTGAAGATAACATAGCCAGGCTCTTCAAACCTGTATTATCCTGTTGCAGTGATGAAGGATATTCTTATCTTGTCCCTAATCTTAAAAAATGCATTTAGCATGGTGTTTGCTTAAAATACTTTGGTAAATACTCTGTATCAAGTGAAATTTCCCTTTTGTTCATGATTTTCTGATAATTTTTATTATAAAATTGATTTTGAACTTTAGCTCATACTGAGTTAATTGCAATTTTAATAAGTTAGACTATTTATATGTTGAATTACATTAATATCTTTTTTGATAATGAACCATCAAGGCATTTCAGAAATAAATTCTACTTGGTCATGATATATTAATTTGTAATATTAATATTACTGTCATTTTTATAATAATTCATTTAGGAATTGTCTATGTTTTTAATTTGAGTAGTCCTATAATTTTGTTTTCTTTATAAACTGGTCAGACTTCATTAGCTCCCTATTCAATACCAAACCCTCATGTCTTCTTTGCTATTAAAATTCTAATGTATTCAGTACAATGATCTTAGTAGTTCATGAATCTTGATCAATCTAAGCCAGCAGTTTTCAAACCTCTTTTTTCAGATCCCTTTTATATTTTCAAAAAGTATCAAGAATCCCAACGAGCTTTTATTTATGTGGGCTAAGTCTATTGATACTTGTTTTACTAGAAATTAAAACAGATAAATGTTTAAAACACAAAAATGAGTGAGTATACATCCCATAACCATCAGAGCATTGACATGATCATACATCAGGTAATCTCGGGAAACTGCACTACACACTTCTGAAAAAAAAAATAAAACTGAGTGAAAATGGCAAATAACATCTTGGTATTATTATGAAAATTGTTTTGAACTTGCAGATTTCCTGAAAAGAGGGGAGTTCCCAGATCACACTTGGAGAACCTCTGATGTAAGTAAATCAAAACAGTCATGCCCCTAGTTTTCCAAACTTTTGGGCAGAAGTATACAGAGGAGATTTATGGGAGAGCTCTTATTTTAGTGGTATAAATGAAAAAGTAGGAATGTGACTGGCTTGCCCTTTCTCCTCTGTCATTGTCTTAAAAGTGGTTATAAACTGTGGAGCTGCAACACACCACTTGCAACCATAAGATTACAAAAATGAGGTTGGAAGTCAACCCGTAGGGTGACAAGAGTAGAAAGTTAAAAATGAGCCTGAGTCTCTTATTTCATCATTAAGTAGCTGAATGAATAAAAAAAAAATCATACCTCTGGGTGTTTTATGAGGGAAAATAAATCTCTATTTATTTAAACCATTGTAAATTATTTTTTCTGTTACTAGAAGCTGAACACACTCCTTATCGTTATCTTTAATCAGCTTTGAAATTAAAGTTTTATTAGCATTATAAAATAAGTTCAGAGCTTTCCCATTTCTATTTTCTGGCACAACTTAGAGAAGATAGGGATAACATTTTGCTGAAAAGTTTGGTTGATACTACGTATTCATAAAAACTGTCTGAATCTGGAGCCTTTTTTGTTTAGTATATATTTTACAAGACTTGGCCCTTAAATTATATTCTTGCCAATTTAGCTTCTTAGCATTTTCAATAATATCAAGTGTTCATTTTTTCTTATACCAATTTTGGCATATATTTTTAAATAAATGTTTTTATACTTTTCAGTTTTCAAATGTATTGCTGTTCTCAATATTTTTAGCATGTTTTAACCTTGTTGTGTCTGACTAGTTCTCTTTTAACATTCTCTATCTACATATTTTCTTGATCTGTCATGCTGTAGGATTGCCTCACTTATGATTCTTTACAAAAAACTGATTTTCAATTTTCTATATCTGTTCCACATTTTTCTCTATTTTATTGTATGAGTTTATTTTGTTCCTATTTTCTTACTTTTAGGGTTAAATATTTGGCTCTTTGGCATTCAATCATTTTAAATACAAACTACAAATTTCTCTCTGCAAGCTGTTTTTTAAAATATTATTTTATTTTCATTTTATGCACATATATCTATATGTTTTTATAAAATACAATTATTATTGGTGTTCAAGTACTACAAATGGTTTCTTTTTTAGTTAATTGTATAGCATGGCTATTTTTCCATGTTATTATTCTACAGCACTGTTCTAATAGCTGTTACTGTTCCATCATAGAGCTATATTTTAATTGATTTAACCAAACTTTTGTTGTTGAATAGTTGGGTCTTTTCTGTGATTTTTTTGCTTATTTATTTTTAAAAATTTAATTTTAATTATTGTGTTTACATAATAGTTTTACATATGGAGTACATATGATATTTTGATAAAAGCATACAATGTATAATGGTCAAATTGGGGTAACTGAAGTATCTACTACCTCAAGCATTTATCATTTCTTTTTGTTAGAAACTTTGATTCTTTTAGTTATTTTGAAATATACTATAAATTATTGTTCACTGTAGTCACCGTATTGTGCTGCAGAACACTAGATCTTATTCCTTCTATCTAACTGTATTTTTGTCCACATTAACAATCCCCTCTTTATTTCTACCTTCCTACAACCCTTCCCAGACTCTGAAAACCACCATTGTACTCTGTATCTCCAAGTTCAATTTTTTATATTTTAGCTCCCACATGTGAATGAGAACATGCGAGATTTGTCATTCTGTACCTGGCTTATTTCACTTAACATAATGTCCTCCATTTCCATCCAGATTGTCACATACTGTTTTATCTGTGCCGCATAAACCCCAAAATTATTAGTGCTTTTTAAATTCCCAGATGTATAATTTTTTCAGTTATCACCTCTTTTTTAGTTTCATATTTTATTGCAACTAAATTATGAGTTTTTTAAATTATATCATTTTGCTAGTTATTTTTTGAGACTTTGTTTTCAAACTTAAACACAGTAACATTTTTCACTAGACCATGTGTGCTTGAAATGAATATATATTTACCGGCTATAAAGATGTGTTAGTTTGATTTTATAATTGCTACCCTAGGTTTTCTATTGAATGATATTTGCCTGGAATGTATTTTTCTATATATTTACTTAGAGAAATATACTGATCACATAATTTTATCAAACAGAGAACAGCCAAATGTAAAAACTAATATTTGACCAAGACTGAGGCAAAGATGAAATATCACCATCAAATAACAAATGTGATAGTGTGATATTTCATCCCAAAATGATAATTTTATTGTAGTTTTGTTTAGCAGTCAAATTTGAGAAGTTTGACACTTTAATGTAGAAATAATTTCTTAGCACTGTTAGCTGCTTAGACTGCTCCTGCAGGCATAATACTGCACACTTAGGATATTAAATAGATATCCACTTTCCATTGAAGCTAGTAGAAAAGTGAAAGTGTCTGATGCCAGGTAATTTCAGCTGTTGATGGTAATATTATCAAGTTATTTTCCCAAATTTCCCAAATTAAAAACATATCACTCATTGAAATCCAGACTTAGACAACGTGATGGCACAATATAATTTGTGCAATTACTCAGAGGCTTTGTGTACTCTTTGAATATGTTTCTGAATATTTAAAAATACATACTTAAGATCATTGCATATAAAATATAGAGAGAGAGATGATCAATAGATAGATTATAAAACTGACTCTGAATCTTTCTGACAAGAGAGAACCTTTGCAGGTGGACTTATAAAAAAAACCCTGAACTATAAAGGCAGAGAAATTTCAGCAGATACCTACAACTAACCTATTTTTTATGCAAGCCACACTTCATTGTTAATAAGTTCTGTTAAGTTGGTATTAAAGAGTGCATTTCCCTCAAGCAGTCTTTTAGATACGTAAAACCTGATATTTTATCTTGTTTGAAAAATCTCATATGAATATAAATCAAGAAAGAATGGCAGAATAATATTGAAGTGAACAGTCAACTATGTGTCCTTCCAAAGTCTGAGACAAAACCCAGTATCAAATAACAGGTTTTGAAAAAAAAATGTGGCAGCTAAAGCCGAACTTAAGTTCATCCTTCATTTTCAACCCTTCTTCATCCTATATCATCAATCTGTATCTCTCGATAAATATATCACTGGACCTTATTTTTGATTTAACATGCAATATGGGAGTTGCTGTTTTTAGATCATTGAGTTAATCTATATTGTATATTGTAATTATTGTTTTATTGGGATTTATTTCTGACATCTTATGTTTTCTATGTCCCTTTAGTTTTGGTTTCTATTTTTCCTCTTCAAAGATATATTTTTTGACTGACAGTTTAAATTATACATTTGATTTTATGTGATGTTATTGATAACTTTTTAATACTCATATTTGTGTTATTTGTCTCTCTTAGTTTGTTAAGCTATCTATTTTTTCAACAAAACAGATGTCTTTGCATACAATCATCTCATTATTCTTCCCCTCCCTTCATGCCTAGATATGCCTTAAATTTTACCTCCTTCTTCTGTGACTCCTATACATGAACATTGACCCTTTCAAGTCTATCCTGTATACATTTTGTGATTACCATCTTTAATCCACTCTAATGTTCCTATTCCTTCTGTGAAATTCCTCAACCAAACTCTCAAGTCACTAACTTCTTTGTTGGCTTTATCTATTTGTCTTAGTACTTTCTTAAAAAATTAATGAGAAATTATGCACATAACATAAAATTTATCCTTTTAAGGTATACAACTTAATGGTTTTTTAGTATGTTCACAGTAGTGCAATCATTACCATAATAAGTTTTTTAAAATTTTCATCATCCTCCCCAAAACACCCTGTATCCATTAGCAGTCACTCCCTGTTTCCTTCCAACTTCATCAGATCTAGGCAACCCTGATGTATTTTCTGCTTTTATAGATTTACCTATACTGGCATTTTATGTAAGTAGAATCATGCAAAATGTGGTCTTTTGTGCCTGGTTTCTTTCATTGGAATAATGTTTTCAAGGTCCATCCATGTTGTAATATACATCAGCACTTCATTTTTTGTTGCCAATAATATCCCTTTTTATGGGTATTCCACATTTTTAATCCATTCATAAGTTGATCAACATCTGTGTTGTTTCTAATAGTACTGCTATTAATATTCATATACAAACTTTTGTTTGGGCTTGTGTTTTCATTTGTCTTGTAGACAAGAATATACCCCTAGGTATAGAACTGCTGAGTTATATGCACACTCCATGTTTAACCATGTTTGAATAGTCTGTCAAACTGTTTTCCAAAGTGGCTGTACCATTTTTCATTCCGACCAGCTAAATATGGAGGTTTCAATTCCTTCACATCCTCACCAACGATTATTATCTTTTCTTTCTCTTCTTTTATTTTTATTTTATTTCATTTTCTGTGGGTATACAGTAGATGTATAGATTTATGGAGTACGTGAGATATTTTGGTATAGACATGCAATGTATAATAACCACATCATGGAAAATGGAGTATCCATCTTCTCAAGTATTTCTCTTTTGTGTTACAAACAATCCAATTATACTCTTATACTTGTTTGAAAATGTAAAATTAAATTATTATTGACTATAGTCCTCTTGTGCTATCAAATATTAGGTTTTATTCATTCTATTTTTTGTACCCATTAACATTCCTCACCTCCCCCTGAACCCCCCTCACTACTCTTCCCAGCCTCTGGTAACCATCCTTCTATTCCCTATATTGATAAATTCAATTGTTCTGATTTTTAGCTCCCAGAAATAAATGAGAACATGTGATGCTCATATTCCTGTGCTATTTTATCTAACAAAATGACCCCAAGTTGCAAACACATTGTTGTAAGTGACAGAATTTCATTTTCGCTATGGCTGACAAGTATTCCATTGTGTATATGTACATTTTTTAATCCTTTCATCTGTTGATGGACACTTAGGTTCCTTCCAAATCTTAGCTATTGTGAACAGTGCTACAACAAACCTGGGAGTGCAGATATCTCTTTGACATACTGATTTCCTTTCTTTTGGGTATATACTCAGCACTAGGGTTGCTGGATCATATGGTAGCTCGATTTTTAGTTTTTGAGGAACTTCTAAACTGTTTTCCATAGTGGTTGTACTAATTTACATTCTCACCAACAGTGTCTGAGGGTTCCCTTTTCTCCACATCCTCACCAGCATTTGTTATTGCCTGTCTTTGGTTTATAAGTTATTTTAACTGTGCTAAGATGATATCTCTTTGTAGATTTGATTTGTAATTCTCTGATAATCAATGATATCGAGCATGGTTTCATATGCCTCTTTGCCATTTGTATGTCTCCTTTAGAGAAATGTCTATTCAGATCTTGTGCCCATTTTAACATTTGGATTACTAGATTATTTTTCCTATAGAGTTGTTTGAGCTCCTTATATATTCTGGTTATTAATCTCATATCAGACGGGTAGTTTGCAAATATTTTCTCCCATTCTGTGGGTTATCTCATTACTTTGCTGACTGCTTCCTTTGCTGTGAAGAAGATTTCTAACTTGTGATCTCATTTGTCCTTTTTTACTTTGCTTGCCTATGCTTTTGGGGTATTACTCAAGAAATGTTTGCCCAGACCAATGTCCTGGAGAGTTTCCCCCATGTTTTCTTGAAGCAGTTTCATAGTTTGAGGTCTTAGATGTAAGCCTTTAATCCATTTGGATTTGATTTTTGTATAAGGTGAGAGATAGGGGTCTAGTTTCATTCTTTTGTATATGGATATCCAGTTTTCCCTTTCCTGGAAAAATTTATTGAAGAGACTGTCTTTTCTTAATGTATGTTCTCAGCACCTTTGTCAAAAATGAGTTCACTGTAGGTGTGCAGATTTATTTTTGGGTTCTCTATTCTGTTCCATTGGTCTATGTGTCTGTTTTAATGACTTTTTATTATGACATCTATCTTGTTACGTATTGGTCTGTTCAGGTTTTATATTTCTTTATGGTTCTATCTTGGCAGGTTCTATGAATCTAGGAATTCATTCATGTCCTCTAGATTTTCCAATTTATTGGCATATATTTGCTCATAATAGCCACAAATAATCCTTTGAATTTCTGTGGTATCAGTGTAATGTCTCCTTTTTAATCTATGATTTTATTTAGTTGGATCTTCTTTTTTTCTTTGTTAGTCTAGCTAAATGTCTGTCAGTTTTATCTTTTCAAAAGACAATTTTTTGTTCATTGATCTTTTGTATTATTTTCTTCATTTCAAATTCATTTATTTCTCTCTGATCTTTGTTATTTATTTTCTTCTACTAATTTTTACTTTAATTTGCTCTTGCTTTTCCAGTTCTTTAAGATGCATCATTGGGTTATTTATTTGAAGTTTTTCTTGTTTTTTGATGTAGGCAGTTAGAGCTATAAATTTCCCTCTTAGTAATGCTTTTGCTGTATCCCATAGGTTTAGATATTTTGTGTTTCCATTATTTGTTTCAAGAAATTTATCAATTTCCTTCTCAATTTCTTTATTTATCCACTGGTCTTTCAGGAGAATGTTGTTTATTTTCCATGTGTTTGTATAGTTTCCGACATTTCTCCTGTTATTGATTTCTAGTTTTATTCATTGTGGTCAGAGAAGATGCTTGATATTATTTCAATTTTTTAAATGTTTTAAGACTTGTTTTGTGACCCAACATATAGACTATTCTTGAAAACGATTATGTGCTGAGAAGAAAAATGTGTGTTCTGCAGCCATTGGGTAAAATGTTCTGTAAATATCTATTAGATTCATTTGTTCTATAGTGCAGAGTAAGTCAAATGTTTCTTTGTTTATTTTCTGTCTGAGAGATCTGTCTGATGCTAAAGTGGGGTGTTAAAGTCTCCAGCTAGTATTGTATTGGGATTTCCCTCTCTCTTTAGCTCTAGTGATATTTGCTTTATATATCTGGGTGTTCCATTGTTGAGTGCATATATATTTATAACCATCATATCCTCTTGCTGAATTGACCCCTTTATCATTATATAATGACCTTCTTTTTATCTTCTGACAGTTTTTGCCTTGAAATCTATTTTATCTGACATAAGTATAGCAAATCTGCTCTTTTTTGGTTTCTACTTAGATGGAATATCTATTTCTAGCCCTTTATTTTCAGTTTACATATGTATTTATAGGTGAAGTGTGTTTCTTTTAGGCAACAGATCGTTGGTTCTTATTTTTTCATCCATTCAGCCACTCTATGTCTTTTGATCTTTTGATTGAAGAGTTTAGTGTATTTACATTCAATGTTATTATTAATAAGTAAGTACTTACTCCTACCATTTTGTTATCTTCTTTCCAGTTGTTTTGCAGTATTCTCCTCCTTCTTTCCTTCTTTCTTGTCTTCCTTTTAGTGAAGGTGATTTTCCCTGGTAGTATGCTTTAATTTCTTGCTTTTTATTTTTTGTATATCCATTTTATGTTTTTTGATTTGAGGTTACCATGAAGCTTGCCAATACTGTTTTATAACTCATTATTTTAAGCTGATGACACTTAATACTCTTTGCATAAACAAAACAAAGAAACAAACAAAAAGAAAGAAAAATAATGAAAACTCTTCACTTTAACTTCATCCCCCCTGCTATTTCACTTTTTTTTGTTCCTCTTTATGTCTTATTGTACTGTCTATGTTTTGAAAAGTTGTTATATTTATTATTTTTAATTGGTTAATCACTTAGTCTTTCTTCTTAAGTCAATACAAGTTTATACACTACAATTACAGTGTTTTCATATTCTGTGTTTTTCTGTGTGCTTACTATTATCAGTAAATTCTGTACCTTCAGATGATATCTTCTTGCTCATGAACACCGTTTTCTTTCAGAATGAACAACTCCCTTCAGCATTTCTTGTAGAACACATCTGGTGTAGATGAAATCCCTCAGTTTTTGTTGGTCTGCGAAGCTCTTTATTTCACCTTCATGTTTGATGGATATTTTCACTGGATATACTATTGTAGGCTAAACAATTTTTCTTGTAGCACTTTAAATATGTCATGCCATTCTCTTCTGGCCTATAAGGTTTCCACTGAAAAGTCTGCGGCCGGATGTATTGGAGCTCCATTGCATGTTATTTGTTTATTTTTCTTGCTGCTCTTAAGATCCTTTGTCTATTCTTGACTTTTAGGAGGTTGTTGATTATACACTTTGAGGTAGTCTTCTTTGGGTTAAATCTGCTTTGTGTTCTATGACCTTCATGTACTTGAATGTTGATATCTTTCTCTAGGTTTGGAAGTTCTCTGATATTATTGTTTTGAATAAACTTCCTATCTCTATCTCCTTCTTTACCTCCTCCTTAAGGCCAAAAACTCTTAGAATTGCCCTTTAATGCCACTTTCTAGATCTTGCAGGTGTGCTTCATTTTTTAAAATTCTTTCTTATTTTGTCTCTTCTTACTGTATTTTCAAATAGATTGTCTTCAAGCTCACAAATTCTTCTACTTGATCAATTTTTTTCTATTAAGAGACCCTGATGCATTCTTCAGTATGTCATTTGCATTTTTCAACACTAGAATTTCTGCTTGATTCTTTGTAATTATTAAAATCTCCTCGTTAAATTTATCTGATAGAATTCTGAATTCCTTCTCTGTATTATCTTGAATTTCTTTGAGTTTCCCCAAAATGGCTATTTTAAATTCTCTGTCTTGTTTCTCCGGAAATGGTCCCTGGTGCCTTATTTAGTTCATTTGGTAAGGTCACGTTTTCCTGGATACTGTTGATGCTAGTAGATGTTCTTTTCTCTCTTGGCATTGAAGAGTGTGTTATTTATTATAGTCTTCAAAGTCTGGGTTCATTTGTGCCTGTTCTTGGGAAAGCTCTCCAGGTATTCAAAGGGACTTGGGCTCCAAGCACTATAATGCTTGGTTTTTGTGGACTCATAAAGGTACTTCCTTGGTGATCTTGGATAAGATCCAGGAAAATTCTCTAGATTATCAGACAGAGACTCTTGTTCTTTTCTCTTACTTTATCCCATGCATACAGAATTTCTCTCTCTGTTCTGAAGCATCTGGGACTGGAGATGTGGTGATGCAAGTACCTTTGTGGCCACCACCACTGGGACTGCACTGGGTCAGACCTGAAGCTAGCATGGCACTGGTCCTTCCCTTCAGGGTGGTAAATTTCCCTAGACCCTGTGCATGTCCAGAAATGCTGTCCAGGAGCCTAAGCCTGGACTCAATTTCTCCAAGAGGCTGCTTGTTGCTCTATCCCACTGTAGCCAAGCTGGTACCTGATTTTTGGTTCTTGTGATGGTGCTTTTCTGTGTGAAGATAGTTGTTAAAATTTGGTGTTCCAGTGGGAATGGAGGTGGTGGAAAACAAATAATGCAGGCTTCTATTCTGCCATCTTGCTCTGCCCTCTTATTTTCTATTATAGCCATCCTAATGTGTGTGCAGTGGTATCTCTTTATGGTTTTAATTTACATTTTCCTTATATCTACAGATGTTGAGAATTTTATGTGCTTATTGGCCATGTGTACATATATCGTCTTTGAAAATATGTCTGTTCAGATGCTCTCCCCATTTTGTTTTCATTATTGTCTTTGTCTTTCATTATTGAGTTTTAAGTTCTTTATATAGTCAGTCTATCACATATGTGATTTAATAATTAGACATATGTTTTGTAAAAATTGCCTCCATCTTCTGAGTTGTCTTTTCAATGTTTTGATGGATGTTGTACTTTTAACATAATAAATAAATAAGTATTGGATAAATACATTAAATCATTAATTCTTCTAATTATTTCTGTCAGTCAGTTCAATTTTTATTTATAAACAAATTTTCCTGGAAACTTACATTCCTCTGAGTGCATCAGCTTCATTGGTTGGTCATTAGTTACTTAGGGGAATAGTCAGTCACAGCACAGAGATTTTTGCCCCTATGACAATTTAGGGGAAATATGTGGGACACAACTCGAGGAAGAGAGTCTTTGTTATTACCAGCTATTCACCCACCTCTGGTGCACTCTCTTCCCATACTCCACCCTCACAAAGTTGCTCTGTCTCAAACAAAAATTCCCATAACTTGACCCATATGATGTTTTTTTAGATTATATTTTAATTTTAAAATCAACATCAAAACTTTCCCTTGAATTGATATTTTCTCAGTATATCTTTTTTGATCCCTGGCTCTGTACTTTGCCCTGAGCTGCTTCTCTCAGTTAGAATTACTTAGATAAAGAATAGGGAGAAGAAAATTCTCAGGGGCTAGCCCACTTATTTGCTGTAAATATAATCAGCTCAGCTAGACTTCCACATTGTAATGATGTCACCCTGTTACCTCTGGCTGGTTCTGCTTTGGTACCACCAGTTTTTATGTGCACAATAGTGCATATACAAGCAACTGTCCCTTCAGGGTTAAGTAGGGGAGAGAAAAAGGCACAACTATAAAGCCGCTCACCCAGTATGTGACATCTAATTCTCTGCTGACCTCAACTCCCAGTGTCTCCATTGCAGACAGAGTCCCAAATATTTTCTCTCTTCCTAGGAGTTTATTACCATTTGTCTTAGGTCACAAAATACATCAGTGTCTTTTCTTTGTCCAGTTTTAGGTTTGAGGAGTAAACCAGCAGCCATGGAAATTCATCTTGTTAGGGCTCAGAAGAATTTTTTTTTCTTTTTAACTATTTGTTACTGGAAATTTCATCATATTTGAAAGATTCTTACCCCGTGTCACTGAGTATCCTTGTCACTGTCCCTAAAGGCTTACTAACATTTAACTAGCATCTAGAAATAACCTTTAAAATACTATTTACAATGATATCTCCAAGGATTCACAAAAAACTTACAACATAAAATGCTTTTATTAATAATGTAAGAAAGAGTAAGTGTGGAAAAGAAGGGTTTGGGGAAAAAGTATATAGAGAAAGACGTCTTTTATCATAAATACATTGTAAATAGAATATTTTTAAAATATTGATTTTGGCAAATGCCTATGGTTTTTCTCACCTCTTGTTTTATTTTATTTTTTTCTTTAGAGATAAGCTATCACTCTGTTGCCCAAGCTGGAGTGCAAGTAGCATCACAGCTCATTGTAACCTCGAACTCATGGGCTCAAGAGATCCTCTTGCCTCAGACTCCTGATTAGCTGGAACTACAGGCACACACCACCATGTCCAGCTAATGTTTTAAATTTTTGTAGAGACAAAAATTTTTAAAGTTTTGTTGCCCAGGTTTGTGTTGAACTCCTGGCCTCAAGCGATGCTCCTGCCCTGGCATCCTAAAGCTCTGGAGTTACAGACATAAACCACAATGACCGGCCATGGATAGAACCTTAACTAAAGGTCATATTTCAGGTACAAAGAAAAAAAATTGGGGAAGTAAGGACAATAGGAGCTTAAGAGAATTTTAGGCAGGATACCCTTCCAATGTCCCTCGAATGTTGAATGTTGCTTACGTACTTATCTAGAATTGTAGCTGTGTTATTGGAATTAGACCAAGTTAGATAATTGTCACATACAAGATAAAGTTGTTTTCCAGTTTTTCTCCTACAGCTGTTTCAAGAATCCTTCAGTCTATAAAAAATGTTTCAATTGAAGAGTAGTATTTTTCTCATCCAACTTACAAGTAGTATATATGTACGAATTTAATGCTTTTTGTTTTTCATTCTAAAAAAGTCTCCAGAAAAATCAATCCATTTCAGAATGTTTTCTTTTCTTTCAATGGCATACAATGTGCTTTTCAAGAAATGTTGATGCAATTAATATTGATATAATAAAATTTTTTTTTATCATATTCAAGACAATAGAAGAAGACTTTGCCAGTAAAAATTTCAGTCTGTCTCCTACTAACAGTAGATGATAAATGAGTTTCAGGGTTGTGATTGCATATTGGTAAAACAAACCTAGAGAGGGAGTGACTTCACTAAGATGGTAGAATAGAAGGTAACCTGCTCATATCCCCCAACAACAAGAATTCTGCACCCATCCACAGTCAAGAGTCTCTCTACAGGAGCTTCAGGATTCAAATAGAAGTTTGTAAAGCCCCATGGAGCCCAAAACCTTGGAGGATCATTTTGAAAGTGCAGACTCTTATCCAAGTGGCTGAACTGCCAAGCTTGCTCCTGGGTTCAAATGTTGAAATGTCGCAGTCCCCCAAAGGGCTTGGTTATAGCCCTGACTGGCCTAGAGCATGCAATCAAAGCCATCTGCCAAGGGGTCCAGAAGGAATTGCATACTCTGGTGCCTTGGCAGAAAGGCTTGTCTGCCTTCAGCTATGAACCTGAAAGTTGTCCTGTGTCTCAGCTCCAGTCACTCTCAGTTGCTCCCCTAGCTCAGAGCTACTCACGCAAGAATTCAGAGGGAGACTCACCCATATCTTGTAGCCCAGGAGTCTGAGCCTCCCTGATGGGCTCACCAACCTCCATCCCACAGCAGATCCCAAGAGGACCTAGTCTCAGCTCCAGGTCCTCCCATTGTAGTGAGGGAACTATCCCTCTTTGCAGAGGCTTTCTGGGAGACACAATTTCCTCTGAGGCAATAAGACTGCACTCTTCAGCCTCTGTCCCACAGCAAATCCCAAGGTGGGGCCAGTTTCAGCTCTAGTCCATCATGATATAGTCAGGAAACTATCTCATCTATGCTGTGAGAACTTCTGGGAGATGTGATTCTGTCTGAGCCCATAAGAAGGAAGCTCCAGCTTCTATCTCACAACAGATCCTGAAGGGGTTCACATGCAGCTTCAGCCCCTTCTGCTATAGTTGGGGAACTCTCTCATCTGTGTAGGGTCCTCTTAGGAGACACATGCCTTCCAAGCCAATGAGACCAGGCTGTATCCCACAGTAGATCCTGAAGGGGCCCAGTCTCAGTTCCAGCCCCTTCTACCACAATGAGGGAACTATCCTATCTGTGAAAGAGCTTGTTGGGCAGCATGCACCCTTATGAGCTAAAACTAGGATCTCCAAACTCTTCCTACAGCAGATTCCAAGAGTGCTGAGTCTCAGCTCTGTTCCCTCCTACTA
This sequence comes from Homo sapiens, assembly GCF_000001405.40. NCBI lineage: Eukaryota > Metazoa > Chordata > Mammalia > Primates > Hominidae > Homo > Homo sapiens. The sequence goes on from NC_000004.12 coordinate 97,300,014, forward strand.
TAGTTAAGGAACAATCCCACCTGTGCAGAAACCTTCTGGGAGATGCACACCCATCTGAGCCAATGTGGTACACATGCCAGCCTGCATCACACAGCACATCTCAAGGGGACCCAGTCTCAGCTCTGGCTTTTTCCATTGCAGATGGAGAACTATAATATCTGGGCAGGAACTTGCTTAACGATGCACACACCTCAGAGTCATGACCAGGCTCTCCAGCCTCTGTCCTAAGCATACCCCAAGGAGGTGTTACTCAGCTTTAGGCCCTCCTGCTGAAATCAGGAACCTATCCTGTCTTCCTAGGACTTGCTAAGAGACACATGCTCCTCTGAGCCAACAAGACCAGTCACTCTAGCTTTTGTCACACAGAAGATTCTGAGGGGGCTCAGTCTCAACTTCAGACTTTCTGCTACAGCTGGGGGACTATTTCATCTGTGCAGTGATCTTCTGGAAGATGCACCCCCATCTTATCCAACAAGACAATCTCACCAGCCTCCTTCTCACAGTAGATCCCAAAGAGTCATAGTCTCAACTTTGTCTCTTCTTGCTACAGTTGGGAACCCATTCCACTTGTGCAATGACATGCTGGGAAATATGCCCATCCGAGCCACTAGGACAGTCTTCTGGACTTAGGTCTCTGGCCAGCATGTCCACACAGTCCCAGTAACCTACTTGGGTCTTCCCCAGATCCTATCTGGGCTGGAAAGCTACATCAACCTCACAGTCTTGCAAGACATGCAGCAAGCCTGGACTTAGAGCATCCTCTAGTGCTGACACAGCTGTAGTGGTCACAGGTTCAGCGAAGATTATGGTCAGTCTGCTTAGAATCCCTGGAAGGCCTTCTAAGAATAATCACAAAGTCAGAATTCAAAGGCTAAAATTAATACCTAATCCCTGATTCACATACATTGTCACATGTCCACAGTCATAAAGAACATTAGGAAAATATAAACTTATCAAATGGACAAAATAAGGTACCAGAGACTGACCCTGAAGTGATGGAGATAAATAGCCATTTTAAGGAAGCTCAACAAATGTAAATAAAACACAGAGAAACAATTCAATATTTTATTAGAGAAATTTAACAGCTAGACTTAAATAATTTTTAAAAAATCAAACTGAAATCCTGGAGGTGAAAAATACCATCAATGAAATAAAAAATGCAATGAAGCACATCAAAGACAGAATTTATCAAATAGCAGAAAGAATCAGTGAGCTCAAAGACAGGCTATTTAAGAATATAGAGTTAGAGGAGATACAGGAAAAAAGAATGAAAGTGAATGAAGTAATCTTGTAGAGTCTATAGGACAACATCAAAAAAGCAAGTATTCAGGTCATTGGTGTTAAAGAGGAAACTGAGAAAGTCAGAGAAATAGATTATTCAAAGGGATAATAACAAAAAACTTTCCAAAACTGGAAGCAGATGTAATATCCAGGTACAGGAATGTCAAAGGTCACCAAGCAGATTCAACCTAAATAAGAATACCCCAAGACATATTATAATCAAAGGTTCAAAGGTCAAAGACAAAAACAAGATCCTGAAAGCAGCAATAGAAAAGATGCAAATAACATATAAGGGAGATCCAAAATGCCTAGCAGCATACTTCTTAATAGAAACCTTACAAGCTAGAAAGGAGTAGGACGATGTATTCAGAATGCTGAAGAAAATAAAAAAACAAAAAAAACTGTCAACAAAGAATATTGTACTCAGCAAAGCTGTCCTTCAGAAATGAAGGAAAGATAAATATTTCCCCAGACAAACAAAATCATGAGGGAATTGATAACTGCCAGACCTGTCCTACAAGAAATGCTAAAAGGAGTTCTTTAAAACAAAAAAGTTTTAAAAAAGAATGCTACTAATATTGTAATTATGTTATGTAAGCCTCTTATAGCTTTACTAAGAGAGCTAAAACTATTAAAAATAATAATAACAATTTGTTGAGAGGCAATATATTAGTGTAAATCATAACACCAAAAATTCAAAATGTGGGGGAAGAAGGGAGTTAATGTGTACAGTATTAGTTTTTTTTCTTTTGGCTTGGTTATATTATTTTTGGAAATCAAAGTAAAGTTGGTACCAGTTCTTAAAAACTTCTTATAACTATAGGATGTTTTTTTACACCTCATAGTAACAACATAGAAATGACCTGTAATAGCACTAAAAATAAAAATCAGTAAATTAAAACATACTACCAGAGAAAATTACTTAACCACAAAGGAAGATGGTAAGAAAAGAAGAAAAATAGAGAGGAGTTACAAAACAGCTAGAAAACAAGTAACAAAATGGTGGTGCTAAGACCTTCCCTATCAATAATAACATTGAATGTAAATGGACTAAATTCTCTAATTAAAAGACATACAGTAAATGAATGCATTTAAAAATAAGACCCAAATATAGGCTGTGTACAAGAAACTCACTTCACGTATAAAAATAAATTGAAGGCCGTTTGCACTAACATCTGAAACAAGATAAGGATGCCCATTTTCACCACCTTTATTCAACATAGTTCTGGAATTCTTGATGAGACTAGAGCAATTAAGCAATAGAAAGAAATGAAAGGTATCTAAATTGGACAGAAAGACATCAAATTATCCTTGTTTGCAGATGGTACAATATTATTTTTATAATAAACTAGTCTCTACCAAAAACTCTTAGAACTGACAAATGAATTCAGTAAAGATGCAGGATATAAAATCAACATATAGCAACCAGTAGTGTTTATATATACTAATAGCAATCAATCTGAAAAAGAAATCAAGACAGCAATCTCATTTACAATAGCTACCTAGAAGTCAATTTCACCAAAGAAGTGAAATATTTCTACAAGAAAAACTATAAAACACTGATGAAGTAAATTGAAGCGGACACACAAAAAAATGGAAAGATATCTTAGGCTCATGGATTAGCAGAATTAATATTGTTACAATGTCTACACTACCCAAACCAGTCTACAGATTCAATGCAATCCCTATAAAAATGCCCATGACATTCTTCACAGAAATAGAAAAAAACTATCCTAAAATTTGCATGCAACCACAAAAGATTCAACATAGCTAAAACAATCCTTGCAAAAATAATAAAGCTGCAGGCATCACACTATCTTATATTATTCTACATAGCTATAGTATCCAAGACAACATGGTACTGGCATAAAAACAGACACATAGACGAATGGAACTGAATAGAAAGCCCAGAAATAAATCCATACATCCACAGCCAACTCATTTTCAACGAAGGTGTCAAGAATACATATTGGGGAAAGGACAGTCTTGAAAAAATTTTGCTGGGAAAACTGGGTAACCACATGCAGAAGTATAAAACTAGAGACTTATCTTTCACCTTGCACATAAATCAACTTAAAATTAATTAAATATGTCCATGTAAAACCTGGCACTATGAAAAAACTAAAAGGAAATATTGGACAATGCTATAGGACATTAGTCTGGGCAAAGATTTTTTGGCTCAAAAGCACAGGCAACCAAAGCAAGAATAGACAAATTGAATCACATCAAGCCAAAACACTTCTGCACAACAAAGAAAACAATCAGCAGAGTAAGGAGACAACCTACAGTATGGGAGAGAATATTTGCAAACTATCCATCCAAGAAGCAATTAATAACCAAAATATCTAACAAACTCAAACATCTCAGTAGCAATAAAACAAGTAATCTGATTAAAAAGTGAGCAAAAGACCATAATAGACATTTAAAAGAATGCATATAAATGGCCCACATGTATATGAAAAAAATGCTCAACATTCCTAATCATCAGAGACATGGGAATCAAAACCACATTAATATATCATCTCACCCTGGTTAGAATGGTTATTATCAAAAATACAAAAAAATCACCAATGCTGACAAAGATGCAAAGAAAGAGGAATGCTCATACACTGATGGTGGGAATGTAAAGTAGTATAGCCATTATGGATAAGAGTATGGAGATTCCTAAAAAAAATAGAACTACTATGTAATCCAAGAATGCCACTGCTGAGTGTATATCCAAAAGAAAGGAAATCAGTATGTTGAAGAGAAATCTGTACTCCCATGTTTATTGCAGTGTCATTCACAACAGCCAAAATATGGGATTAACCTGTCTCCAGGAACAGATGGAGAAAGAAAATGCAATATATATACACAATGGAATATTATTCAGCCATACAAAAGAATTAAATCCTGTCATTTGCAGCAACATGTATAGAACTGGAGACCATTGTTAAGTGAAATACGCCAGGCACAGAGACAAATATTACATGTTCTCACTTACATATGAGAGCTAAAGCAGTGGGTGTCATGGATGCAGAAAGTAGAATGGTGGTTACCAAAAGTTGAGAAGGGAAGGGATGAAGGAGGATTTGAAAAAGTAGGTTAAGGTGTACAAAAACACAGTTAGATATAAGAAATAAACTCAAGAATTTGATATTAGAGTGTGGAAATTATAGTGGACAATAATTTATTGTATGCTTCAAAATAGAAGAGAAGAACTGCAATGTTCCCACCACAAAGAAAAGATAAATTTTTGAGGTAATAAATAAACCAATTACCCTGTTTTGATCATTACACACTGTATACAGGCATCAAGGTATCACATGTATCCCAAAAATATATACAACTATTATATATCCATAAAAAATAAACTAATTTAGAAACATCTGGGCATTTCCAAACATAAAGTTAAATCTCATCCATGGTACAGAGTATACATGGCTATTTTTATACCTCTCTAACAACCTGGTATGATTTCCATTTATTGTAAACACTTTCATGTGGAAGATATTCATTTTGGGAATTCCTCATATATTATTTCTGTGATTATAAAGTGGACTAAGAACCTAAGGTGAATTGTCATCTGATGAGATTGAGAACAGAAACCATTAGATGTTCCATCCCAAACCACAAACTGTATCTTTTATTCAAATGAACCCAAACTTCTTAAAATCAAGTTAACAGAACCAAGTCTACATTTTCCAAAATTCATAATAACATAGGAACCTCAATTAATCTAAACATTAAATTCAAGTTAGTTTTCATTCTTTCTAGTTCCACATCTAAACACCAGTCTAATTTGGTATTGCTGCCACTTTGTTACTTATTTGTTCACGAACTGAACACATTTTCACTGAGCCAGAAATTCTCTCATGTTCTAAACAGTTTTCTCTGTAGAACAGTTCCCTTGCTCATGGAGCTTACAACTGAATGAAAAAAAGACAAATAATTAACAAGTAAATAAATAAGCCAGATAATTTCAGATCATTATTGTAACTACGTAGAAAAGGAAACTGGATGCTGTATTAGTGTGAGTAGGCAGTGGAGGAGGTGGCGATAACGTGGTCCCTGAAAGAGCTCTCCAAAAATGAGCAAGCTAAAATTTGAGTGATAAGAAACAGTCATCCATGTGAATATCTCAGGAAAAAAACATTTCAGGCAGTAGAAAAGACAAGAATAAAAGAGGAAAATCCAGGAAAGCAAAGAAACAAAAGCTTGAAATGTGGTTGAATTCAGTGATTACCTCTTAGTCACTAAATACTCTAAGGGCATGACCATAACGTGTTCATTTGTCTGCAGCAATCTGTGTTTATGCCTATTGCCCAGGCCTAATAATTCATCTAGTCACTTTAAAATGGTCTGAATTCATGATGAAATGATACGGTCACTCAGGTTACAAATATGAGATAATTGTAACTACTCATAAGATAATATTAGAAATTATGAATATAAACTTTACATTTATTAAACTCAGAAAACTGGTTTTACTCATTACAATGTATTTTCTTAGGGAAATTCTCTGACTTTAGAACAACCAATTTTATCATCTTTTTCTATGATTCTTATACTCTGTCCTCTTAATTTTTTTACCTATGTGCTCCAAAGCTGGAAAAAAAAGTGAAAACAAGCTGAATCTTTAAAAAGACCACTAAAAATATGTCTCCTATTATGAGATTTCTTTAATTATTGTTACTGCCCTCTTAATCTTTATTATGTACTGGGAAGTGGAACTATGGGAATGCAAGTGATTGATTAGACTTTTACCGTGCTCCTTAAAGTGTGCTCAGCCATGAGTTTATTTCCCAGTTTTCTGCAGCCACAAGGTATGCATGATTTTAAGGCAGTTTGAAGGCTGACAGCATAGAAACCCCAGGACTGGACATGGAGATCAGCAGTTAAAAAGTGGGATGTGCAGTACAAATGTGCCAAAGAAGCATTCTTTCCATTGTCAAGCTCTTTTAAATCATTTATACTAAGTGGAAAGCACTGTGAAATACACATATTTTTACATGGAAAGAGAGAGAAAGGTTAGATAGAGATAGATGATAGATAGATAGATAGATGATAGATAAATAATAGATAATAGATTAGATGATAGATGGATAGATGATAGATAGACAGATAGACTAGATAGATAGATAGATAGATAGATAGATAGATAGATAGATAGATAGAAAATATATATGGTTTCTATCGGACCCCCAGTAAATAACACTAATTGTTTTTATGTTTAAAACCTCAACAATCCTGAGAAACTAAAATGCGTAAATGTTAGACAACAAAGGTCAATAGGGATGTGTACAAAAGTGTTTCTTGTGGTATTTTAAGGTTTGATTTATATCACCAGCCAAAACATCACTCACATTTAAATTTTTTTCTTTTTTAAAAAAAGAAAATTCAGATAATTTAAAGACATTCAAATGTGCGCTTGGCTCCAAGAGCCCTGGGGGATAAATATGGTAAAGTCACATAGTTTTATCTCTTTTTAACATTCCATTTGTGAGTATGTATTTGGCAATAGGCTAAATATTTAGAAGCCAACTGTGAATAGGGAGGCATAATTAACCTAACAATATAATATGTTTGTTAAAGGAGTAATTGGTCTTGGACTGCATCAATTACTCTACATTCACCAAAATAAATATTCCTTTAATTCTACATATTGTACTTTAAGATTAACTTGAACATATGGGGAAAAATTACTTGGAAGGAGATTTGAAAATATAGTATCCGAAACATTAAAAATATAATATTGTATACTGGAAAAACAGTATATATCTAAAATTCATCCTCCGAAGTATTCAGCATATTCCAGGAATTTTGGCTAGCTATAATATTTAGTAAAAGGAAAGAATACTATTCTCACAAAGCTTAAATATTAAGAAATTGGAGATGTATTTCATGGGAAATTAAAGCCATTTTAAATTAAATGAAAGACTACATGTGCAAGAGGGATTATTTATTATGTATTGTCTTAGAAGGGAGTACAAGAAAGATGAGACCTGGGCCAAAACTGGAAGGAGGGGCCGAGAGGAGAAGCCACCTTCAATATCAAATACTATCGAAAATACTACCATTTCTGCGTTTCTTCAACTATAAGGGAGAAAAATTAATATATTTTCCTGAGTCATCACAACGTTCATGGCTGAGACCCCTATAACAAAAAGACTAACAAGAGAAAAGCATACATTTATTTAAGTTTTGCATGCCATAGTAGCCTTCAGAAATTAAGACCCAAAGACCCAGAGAACACTGTATTTTTGTGAACAGTCACACAGATGTATGATTTGAAGACAAAAGGAATGATCCAATGATATTAAAGTTGGGGAAAGTTAGCAAGGTCTGTTTGTTCAGTTTCTTCTGGGCCTTTTTGTGTAACATGCCTTCCCTCAACGTATAGGGCAGGACAACTGTCACATGAGAGTCTTCAGGGGAGAGGAGAGGAAGAAGGTCAGAGTCACTTTCCTAGGTTTTATGGTTTGCTTTGGGGAAGAAGAGGTAAGGGGAATTCTCCTCACTTCAGGAGAGAGGGCGGAAGAAGGTCAGAGAGACCTTCCTGCTTCTGCAGTTTTCTCAATTTCCTTCAGCTTAAAATAGTACACCAAGGTGCCACATTTTTAAGTAGCATTTCCTGCGCTCCATCACAACATACATTTGTTAGGCTCATATATAAGGACCTTTGGAATATACAAGGAAAAGCATTAATATTCTCACATTCACATATTATTTAATTCTTATATTTCTAAAATTAAGTTTTTGGTTCCCACTGATAAACATATGCTACTAGTTATGATTATTAGGCTGTAGGTAGCACAGAAGTATTTTTATGACCAGTTTTATATAAGCTTCCTGCTATAAACTTACCTTCTTGAAAGCAAAAGCACTAAAGTAATGCACATCACCTACAGTTATTGTGTTGTCCACATTGAAGTGTCCATATTAGAAGTGCCAATGGTACACGAAAAATGAAACATGTATTCTGTATGTGATAAATTCTAATGGCTATTGTTATTCTGCCAAGATGGTTTGGTAGATTGTAACTTCTGATATGATCGAATGTTTACCTATTTATCCAAATTAACATCTAAATTAGATTCAATGTGTACTTATTTATCCAAATTAACTTCTAAATTACTTAATACATTGATAGAAAAATAAAATCAATGCGCTATCCATGCTTAAATACAGTATTGGGAAATTCTTAATCATGCCCAGACCTAGTATATTGCTTGACACTAGAAATAATCAATGAGAGTATTTTTCTACTACCTGAAAGATTCACACAAAAAATTGTATATGTAGATGTGGGACCTCAAGAGATTTTCCTGAAGTCAAAATGCTACTGGGTCAATGAGGAATCTAGCTCCTGGCCAAAATCCTATGGGGATCTTTCAGGCACAACCATACGCAATCACAAGGCCTTGTCTGGCACATCTCAGAAGGGGAAACTACCCTCCCTATACCACAGCCAGTACATCATAGTTCTCTGGAGAGAGTTACAGTCAAAAACATTCCCCTCATGCCCCCAACTTCTGCCCTGCCACAGCTGACCATGTTCATACTCTCATACACTATCTGCATTCCTAGCCCAGCTTCCCACTTGGAGGTCTCCTTGCTGGGGGTCTTGCCTGAGGCACTTTTATCCACTTTGACTTGGTACTTTTCTATACCTAACCCTTCCCCTTCTCTCTCCCCTGCCCCAAACAGGTCCATCAGAAGGAATGAAACTTTTGTTTGGGTGTCCTCAGCAGTGAGATGATTCCCCTCATCTGTGCTGCGTCCACCTACCCCTCACCCTGTGTCCATTCCATGGGGAAAATGAAACTGGAGGGAGCTGGGGCTTCTCTTCTTGCCCTTTGTTTGCACTGTAGCAGTAAGCAAAGAAAGACTTGAGTGTTACTATAACTCATTGTCCTAATTGACCACCTGGATATGTAATTGCATGACAGTGACTAAAATGGTTTTTGTACTAAATTTACCCTGAAAAGTGTACATGAAAGGAGGTTGCTAACATTCCTTCTCCAAGAATTAGAAAGGGATTTGCCACCATATGGCATCATGGCACATGTTACTTATCACTATGAATAGAAATTGGCAAATATTAAACATCCTACAAGAATTTCAGCACAATCCAGATCTTCTTAGAAGCATTCATTAGCCAATTAGCCTAATGAAATGCAAATATTGTGTAATTAATTAAGGAAATCTTTTGTATCTTTTTAAGTCTGGTTCAGGTCATACCATCTATTCTCCACACCCAATTCCTATGACATTTATAACCCGTAGGTGTAGATAATCTATCCTTTCTATGCTATTTTATTATATTTTCCTCACATTTCAACCATATGTTTGCCATTACTTGCCATAGAATGTAGTTACTACGCACATCTCTATCTCTCTCCATAGTTTCCAAGCTCCTAGAATACAACTTTGAATTCATCATTCCACTTAACCATTGTAATTATCACTATGTTTTGATTATAATAAGCATTCAAAAATATTTGTTAAGCCAAAATATTGATGTTATTTTGGAAGTTGTAAGAGGAATTAATCACTGTACAGCTTCAAAAGTAAACCCAGCTTCAAAAGTAAACCCTGTCCAGGAGTCATTTTCTGGTGGAAAATAAAGTTAAGGCCTTTTTAAATTTTTTTTATTATAATATAATTGTAGATTCACATATAGTTATAAGAAATAAAACAGAGATATCCCATGGACACTTCATGCAGTTTCCCCCAATGGTATCAGTTGCAAAACTGTAGCACAGCATCTCAACCAGGATCTTAATACTGATACAGAACAAGTTCCAACCCCACAGGGATTCTTTTTCCTGTTGCTCTTTTATAACCACACCCGTTACCCTCTGACTACCTCTTTATCCCCTGACAAATCCCTGACAGTAGTTTATTATAATTTCTATAAGTTTTTCATTTCTAAAAAGTTACATAAATGGAGTTTTATAGACCATAACCTTTTAAAATGAATTTCAACTTTTATTTTAGATACAAGGGTTTCATGTGCAGGTTACTGTATGGAAATATTGCGTGATGCTGAGGTTAGGGGTATGGATCCCATCACCCAGGTAGTGAGCTGTATTAGTCCATTCTCACACTGCTATAAGGAACTTCCTAAGACTGGGTAATTTACAAAGAAAAGAGGTTTAATTGACTCACAATTCCACATGGCTGGGGAGGCCTCAGGATACTTACAATCATGACAGAATGGGAAGCAGGCATGTCTTACATGGCAGCAGGTAAGAGATCAAGTGTGTGTCAATACAGAAAAAGCTACCATTCATAAAACCATCAGATCTCATGAAAATCCACTCACTATCAAAAGAACAGCATGGAGGAAACGGTCCCCATAATCCAATCACTTTCCACCAGGTCTCTCCCTAAACACCTGAGGATTACAATTCAAGATGAGACTTGGGTGGGGACATAAAGCCTAACCATATCATGAGCATAATACCCAGTAGGTAGTTTATCAGCCCACATCCCTCTTTCTTCCCATCTCTCCCTCACACCTCCAGTAGTCCACAGTGTCTATTTTTCCCATGTTTATGTCCGTGTGTACTCAATGTTTATCTCCCACTAATAAGTGAGAAAATGAGGTATTTGGTTTGAGACTGGCTTTTTTCACCCAGCATATTTCTCTCAAGATTCATCCAGGTTGTTCTGTTTCGATAGTTGGTTCTTTTTTGCTGAATAGTATTCTGTGGCATGGATTTACCACAGTTTCTTTAACTTACTGAAGGCATTTGAGTTATTTCCAGTTTGGGAATATTATAAACTGTTACAAATATTTGTGTACAGGTTTGTAATGTGCACACATCTTTATTTCCCTGGGATAAGTGCCCATGGATACAATTGTTGTCTCATATGGTTGCTGTATGCTTAGTTTAAAAAGAAACTGCCAAATCGTTTTACAGAGAGGCTTCACCTTTTTACATTCCCATCAGCAAGTCTGAGTGATCCAGTTTCTCCACATCCTTGTTGATATTTATTGACGTAATTTTTAGAATCATTACTTTAGCCATTCTTATAGGCATTAGTGATATCTCATTGTGGTTTTAGTTTAAATTTCCCTAGTGACTAATAATGTTTCATGTCCTTATTTGCCATTTGCAAATCCTCTTAATTAAAATGTCTCATGTCTTTTGTCAATTTTTTAATTGAGGTGATGATTTGGTTTTATTTATTTATTTTTTGCTTTTGAGATTTGAGAATTTTTATTGTATTCTAGATACTAGTCTTTTGTCAAATATATGGTTTGAAAATATTCTATCTCAATAGGCAATTTTTCATTTCATCCTCTGAACAGGTATTTCTCAGAGCAAGTGTTTTAAATTGTGATGAAGTTCAATTTGTCATTTTTTCTGTTAGGGATTGTGCTTTGGCATCGAGTTTAAAAACTTAACCTAGCCCTAGATTTTCTTCTACTTTTTTTGTTTTATAGTTTTAGGTTTTATATTTAAGTCCATGAACTATCTTGAGTTAATTTTTTGCATAAAATGTGAGACTTAGGTTGAGGTGTTTGTTTGTTTGTTTGCTTGCTTATTTGTTTTGGCATAAGTCTATGGATGTCCAATTGCTCCAGCACCATGTTTTGAAATGCAGTATTTTCTTCCACGAATTATTTTTGCACCATTGTCAAATGTCAACTGGGCATTTCAGAAGAAAAAAAATTGAACCCTTTTTTTCTTCTATTCTCACACACTACTCAACACATTTCTGATACAAGGTGTCGGTGGGGGGTGTTGTGGACTCCCCCCTCAACAAGCAGTTCTCCATCAGATACCAGATGAATGTACTATAATTCAATTCAGTTCTGACTATCCGGAGATAGCATCAGATCCCACAGGTTAAGGGCTCAGTCCCACAAGAATGTCTCCCACTTCAATGCCAGTCTCAAGCCCCTGGTTGTGATCTGTGCTCTGTCCAACTGGCTATAGATCAGGATTCATACAACTGCCTCTTTGAGTTGCATTCATTTGTTAAACTGGCTCACAGAATTTAGGAAAACACTTTACTTGGGTTTGCAAATTTATTATAAAGGATATTATGAAGGATATAGATGAACAGTCAGATAGAAGAAGTGCATAGGGCAAGGTAAGATGGAAAGGGTGTGGAGCTTCCATGCCCTCTCTGGGAACGCCACCTCATGTGGCCAACAATCTAGAAGCTCTCCAAATCTTGTTCTTTTAAGGGTTTATGGAGGCTTTATTACACAGTCATGGTTGATTTGATTATATCATAGGCGAAGGTGGCCAACTCTCAGGACTTTAACCTTTCTCCTGTCCCCAAAGGTTGGGGTGTGAGGCTGAAAGTTCCAGTTCTCTAATCACACGGTTTGTTCCCCTGGCCACAAGTCCGCATCTTGAGACTATCCAGAATTCCACCAAGAGCTGCCTCATGAAAATAAAAGATATTCCTATCATCCAGGAAATTCCAAGAAATTTAGAAGCTGTGTGCCAGGAAGCAGGGGTAGAGACCAAATATATAATTATTGTTATATCATAATATCGCAGATATATTTGTGTGAGGACATTTACGAATTCTCTGTTCATAGATTCTCTGTTAATCTATGTGTCTAACCCTCTGACAATACCATGCAGTCCTTGCTCCTGTAGCTATATACCAAGTTGAAACTAGGTAGATCAATTTCATTTACTTTATTTTCTTTCAAAATTGTTTTATTCTAGTTCCTTTGCCTTTACATAAAAATTTTAGAATAATCTTGCCAAAACAACCTTAATGGGATTTTGATAGGAATAGTGTGAAACCTACATATCGATTTGGGGAGAACTGACATATTTACTACAGTCAGTCTTCCAGTCTATGAACGTGTCTCTCCACATATTTATTTGGATTTAGTTTTATTTCTTTTATCAGCCTTGTGTAGTTTTCAGGATACAAGTCCTATGCAAGTTATGTTAGAGTTATACCTAAACATTTAATTGAGTGATCATTAGTGGTATTATGTTATTAATTTTGGTGTCCATGTGCTCACTGCTAGTACATGAAGGCACAATTAATCTGTTTCTCCTGCATCTTGTGACCTTGCTCAACTCATTTATTAGTCCTACAAGTTTTTTGTAGATTCCTAAGAGTTTTCTATGTAGACATGTCATCTGAAAATTAGGACAGTTATAATATTTATTTTCCCAATCTATATTGCTTTGCTTTGCTTTACTATACTGACTAAAACTTCCAACACTGTGTTAAATAAGAGTAGTAAGAGCAAACATCCTTACCTTGCTCCTGATCTTAAAAGAAAAGTATTCAGTCTTTCACCATTAAGTATAAGGTTAGCTGTAGTGAGTTTTTTTGTTTGTTTTTTAGGTGGTCATTATCAAGTTGAGAAAGTTTTTCTTTTTTTTATTATTATTATTATACTTTTAAGTTTTAGGGTACATGTGCACAATGTGCAGGTTAGTTACATATGTATACATGTGCCATGTTGGTCTGCTGCACCCATTAACTCGTCATTTAGCATTAGGTATATCTCCTAATGCTATCCCTCCCCCCTCCCCCCACCCCACAACAGTCCCTGGTGTAAAGTTTTTCTATTTAGATTTTGAGATTTTTTTTCCATGAATGAGTGTTCAATTTTGTCTAATTATCTATCTATATCAAAGCATGTTAATTTCATAGATAACATTTTTGCATATTGAACAATTATTGAATCACTAAAGCAAATATCACTTGATAATGATATATAATTCTTTCTATATATTGCTAGATTTTATTTGTAAATACTTATAAAGACTGGATCCATTTTCATGAGGAACATTGGTCTGTAGTTTACTTTCTTTTTCTTTTTTTTTCCTTTTCTTTTCTAATACTGTCATTATCTGGTTTTGGTATCAGGGCAATACCAGCTTTATAAAATGAATTGGGAAGTATTTTCACCTTTTCTATTTTCTGGAAGAAATTGTGTAGAAGTAGTGCTAATTCTTCTTTAAACTTTGATCAAATTCTTCAGTTAAACATCTAAGCATGGAGATTTCTTTGGGGGGAAATTTAAAATGTTGAATTATGTTTCTTTATTGGTCATAGGTCTCTGAGAGGAGAGAGATCTCAAACAGTTTTTCTTTCACTCTCATACCACAACAACAATCAACACAGAAGACTTCTGGGACCAAATGTGTATGTGTGCATTGCAGGTGGGTGGGGTTCTCCACACACCAAACAAACAATTAATTCTGCAGCAGATACCAGCTGGGTGTCCTTTAATTCAATTCTGACACCTTCTACCTGAGGATAGCATCGGCTCTCACAGGTTGAGGGCTCAGTCCCCAAGACTGCCCCTCCCACACTTCCAATGCCAATCACAAGCCCTAGGTTGTTTTACCTGTGCTCCTCATTTACCAGCTATAAATTAAGGATCCCATGACCTTCTCCTTGTATCTGATTATTTTGCCAGAGTGGCTCACATAACTCAGGGAAACTTACATTTACTGGTTTATTATGAAGGATATTACAAAGGATAGAGATAGAGATGCATAGGGTGAGGTATGGGAAGAAGCATGGAGCTTCCATGCCCTCCTCAGGCACGGCACCCTCCAGGAACTCTATGTGTTCAGCTATCCAGAAGCTCTCTGAATTCTGTCCTCTTGGGCCTGCTATGGAGACTTCATTGGATTGGCATGACTGACCACTATGTAGAAATTTGACTGGACAAAAAAGTTATACTAATAGACCAAGTGAGGTAGCCTAGCAAGGCCTGTCTGTTCAGATTCTTCTTGGCCTCTCTCTGCAGCATCCCTTCCTCTAGGGTATAGGATAGAACCTCTTCTCAAATGAGGGTCTTATGACCCACAATGCACTTAGAGTCTTGCCTTGGGCTGGTGAAAGGAGGGCAGAAGACAGTCAGAAAGAAAGATTCTGTTTCCTAAAGCTTGCTTCTAAGGCCTAACATGCCCCAACATTATAACAAAGACTGTAATAAGGGCAATGGAAGTGTGAGCCAGGAATCGTGGACAAAAAACCCGTGTGTGTGTGTGTGTGTGTGTGTGTATACATACACATACATACGTATACATACACATATATATATATAATCATAGGGCTATACTGCTTTAGCTGTGTCACACAAATTTTAATAAGTTGCTTTAAATTTTTATTCAGTTCCATGTGTTATCTTGCCTAGACTTCTTTGACCCATTGATTACTTAGAGGCGTAGTTTACACGTTTGGATTTTTTCATTTGTTTTTCTGTTATTGATTTCCAATTTGATTCCATTGTGGTCAGAGAACATGCTCTGTATGATTTCAATTCTCTTAAATTTGTTAAGGTCTTTGATGGGCCACATATTTCTCAGTTGCCAGCATCTTCTGCTCCAAGTCTTAGATATAAGAGGCAAAAAGAAAACCAAGGGCACTCACCACTGTGTTGTTCCTCAGTCCTGAGGTCCCTAGCTTGTCTGCCTTTTTCTACTCCAACTTCTCAGAAGTGCAAGTGAGGCTTTGTTTTATCCACCACTGTTGCTGATTTTCACTATTTTTTAATATATTACTGTCATATTATGAGTAATGACATTGATTAAGGAATGAGAAACATTTGTGAAATCATCAAATCAGTCTTTCAAGGTCTGTGTTACACTCTGCAAAAGGTGAAGAAAATAGCATTAGATTGATCTACTGCTTTTCTCCCAACTTTTCTGAATCCTCTATTGCCTCTCATCATCTCCTTGGAATTCCCACTAATTCCCCAATTCTCCTTCAAACATTTTTATCAATGGCATTTAGTGAGCTACCTGGTGGTAGAGAGAGTGGTGGTGGTTGGGGTAGGGAGGAGGTAAAATGTGTGTTTAGGTGTGTTAGCTTAATATATTCCTACAGAAATTTCATATGTATTAATAAAGAATGAATTGGAAAAAAATAAATCATATCATATCATAAGAAAATGTGAGCTAACAGTAAATTACAGTACAGATTAAGGACTAGAAGTACAAGTGATTGAAAAAATCATACAGAGAAATACAGATAAATGTTACTAGTGTTCAAAATATCTGCTTGCTACAAAAAGAGCACACAGAATTAAAAGCAAATGCACACCTATGTATATATGTATATATGTATATATATATATATATATGGCATATAATTAATTATGAGATCAGTAAGATTTTAAGAGACAATTCACAAAAGAGGAAGGATGCATACCTAATCATTAAATGATCAAACTATTAAAATGTTAAAAATAGAATTTAGGAAAATGATTATTCAGACATAAACCACTAAATATTTATTTTTTCACATACACACTATATATCAGATCAAAATTTAAATTAGACTCATTTGATATAATTTCTTTTACAACAATAATACAAGAAATTCCTTTAAGACAAGAAATATTTATGTGGGTTCTCATAGCTGAGGACCACATACTAGCTGTAGGTGCAGGGAAAATACTGTCTTCAAGGCTCAGTTTCTTTATTTATAAAATAAAAAGATTAATATCTATTTCATATGGTTATTAGGAAAACTAAATGGAAAATACATAAAAGGAGTTATCACATTCCCTGGCTTGTAGTAACCACTAAATAACTATTGGCTAAATTATTGTGTGTGGTTTATTATTTATTAATAAATAGAAATTTTATTGTGCAGTCAATGAAGAAATGTGCATTTGGGTTCTATTAATATCCCTACAATAGATTTTATACCTGCACCTTGGAATATCCCATTTTAATGATGATAATTACACTTAAAAATATGCTCTATAACCAAAAATATGCCCTTATTATTTTGTTCATAATTCTCCAGTAATTCAGATGAAATAGGCAGAAGTAGCAATTTGAAAGATGCAGAAGATTCTGAATTGGTATTATCATAATACGATCAGGAGTCTGAATCTAGTGTCCTTTTGTCTGGGCTTCCTAGTTTTATGTAGGGTAACTAGTGACTGAATGTGCATTAAAATAATTAAATTAGAATATAATGAAGTAAATTGCTATGAAGTGCAAGAGAAGCTGATGACATCATCGTCTCAAAACATCCCCAAAAGTCAAAAATGCTTTATTCATTGTTTTCTGTCACCAGGGAGCATTGACAACCTTAACGACATCTAGGTTTTTTTCCAGCCAGTGGATTTTGGACAGGGTTGAAAGTTTTTTGTTTGAATGGTTCACAGCCCCAGTTAGGAACAAAATTAGCCACTATCATGGGATGGGTGATTATTTTCACAGAAGACTTCTTCTGAGTATATTTGAATTGCAAATATCAAAACCCCTAAAGAAAGTGAAGGCAAAAAAAAAAAAAAATTGTGTAAGTTTTCTTAAGAGCAGCAGTAAGTCATTATCAAGCAATTAGTGTTGTAATAAGCTCCCATTTCTTAGTTTGGCATATTTTGTTCAATACTGGAAATATAATTATGATAAAGGTTGAAGACACAGTACAGTACTTATATGTTAACCATTTATAAACAATTTGTCTCTAATGACAGACAGGAGAGCATGTAATTACACTCAGCATTTCCAGAAAGACTGACTATTTGCCAAACAGCACTCCATTTGATTGCCTTTAAAGTGCAATCCTGGGTTGTTAAAGTGAAAATAGGATTTTTGGTTGCAGGTAATTAACTTCCCCCCACTCGCCCCCTGCTATTCTTTTCTTAGTTGTTAATGAAGGGCTTTTGAAGTCTTCATTACCAATGGGTATTTGTCAATGCCAAAAAAAAATACAGAGCCCCAAACCCTTCAAATAACCTTCTTCTCTATCATTCTGTGTAAAATCTTTGAAATAACTAATGACGTCCTGAAAGGTGCAAAGGGCAAAGCTCACACACTGAATTGAGGCAAGTCATCAAGCAGGATGGGAGAAGACAGCCAAAGAAAGGAAAGTAATACCCAACTGAAGGAGGATAGAGAGGAATTATTTGAAATACAGATTCTTTCAGCAAAGGCTCCTTCTTCAAAGCTTTTTGGAAAAAAATGTAATGCAAAAAAAAAATAAAAGTATGAAGTATAAGGATAAGTAAAAAAATTTAAAAGCATATTTTGAAATACATACGTGATCATAGGAGTTCATTGTGGACTGTGAATGGGTCCATATTTAGTGGCATCTGCCTTTAACTAGGAATAAGGCCAAAATCAGTCACAGAGTTGGTCTGCTCCATTTGTCTCGGAGATCACTAGATATATTTCTAGCACTTCTTTTTCTCCTAAGAGTGTAGCATTTATAGTATCTATTCAAAGAGAACTCACAAGTACAGCATTTCATGAGCTCTTGATAAGCTGTCTGAATCATGACCATTGTGCCACGGATTTCCTCAAGCCCTTTTCTTTATTAAGGTTCATGAACAGACTGTGAATTCCTGATTTGCCTTTGTTGTGTCTCCTCTGTCCAGTTTCTACAGGGTCCTATTTGAGACTAGTTTGCTTAGAGCTCATAATGAGCTCTCTAATGTTGATTCATTTTGGGGTCTCATATTCTTCAGTATTCTTATATCTTTTTCTGAGCATTCAGAATAAAGAGAGCTAGTATTAATGGAAAACACACTATGTGTAGTAACATCATTTTCTCACTTTAACCTTCCAGTACTTGTGAGATAGAGAGATACTTTTAATTAGTTAATCCTTTCCTGGCTTCAACTCCTACTAGTCTAGACTTGGTATTCTATCACTTAAACTACTCTCCCAACCATCACTTTGACACCCCTGTGCAAATATTCTTTGACAAAAATATCTAGGTGAAATCCAAACTTCAGAATAATGTAATCATCTGCTTTATCTATTATTTCACTCTATAGCTTATCCCATGCTATGATTTGAATACTTGTCCCCTACAAAACTCATGTTGAAATTTAATCCCCATTGTGGCAGTATTGAGACGAAGGACCTTTAAGAAGTGATAGGGTCATGAGGGCTCTGCCCTCATAAATAGATTAATCTTTTTTATAGATTAATGGATAAAGGATTAAAAGATTAATGGGTTGCCATGAGGGTGGAACTGGTGGCTTTCTAAGAAGAGGACAAGAAACATGAACTAGCAAGCTCAGCCCCCTTACCATGCGATGCCCTGTGCTGCCTTGGAACCCTACAAGGAGCCCCACCAGCAAGAAGGCCCTCACCAAATGTGGGCTTTGACCTTGGATTTCTCAACCTCCATAACTGTAAGAAATAAATTCCTTTTCTTTATAAATTATCCAGTTTCAGTTATTCTTTTAAAAGCAACAGAAAACAGACTAATAAATCCCACATATAGTCTGTTCAAACAATGCCTCTTCAAATTTGCCAAAGATATGCTTCTCTCTTCAACATAGAAACATTCTAGGCTGGGCGCAGTGGCTCACACCTATAATCCCAGCACTTTGGGAGGCCGAGAAAGGCAGATCACCTGAGGTCAGGAGTTCGAGACCAGCCTGACCAACATGGAGAAACCCTGTCTCTACTAAAAATACAAGATTAGCTGGGCTTGGTTGTGCATGCCTGTAATCCCAGCTACTCAGGAGGCTGAGGCAGGAGAATCACTTGAACCCAGGAGGCGGAGGTTGCAGTGAGCCGAGATCATGCCATTGCACTCCACCCTGGGGAACGCGAGTGAAACGCCATCTCAAAATAATAATAATAATAAAGAAATAAAAATAAAATAAAACATTCTACAGTCTCTGCCATTTTTAATGAATCTTCTTTGATCTCCTCTAGCCATCATCCAGTCTCTTCTTTCCTTAAAAGCCTATATTTCAGAAAGAGTGCTATACACTCTGTCTCCAGAGCCATTTAATTAGCCCACTGAAATCTGATTTCTCTACTTCACTTTCAAAGTTACTATAGCTAACATCATCTATTATTTCCCAGTTGCTAAATCCAAAGGAGAGTTTTTATTCCTTACCTCGATTGGCCTCCCTATAACTGTAAAAATATCTCTTCTCCTTTGGTTTCCAAGATTCACTCTCTCCTTGCTTTCCCATCTATCTTAGTTTCCTCTTCTAGGATGTTCTTTCTGCCCTCATAGCTTGAATTCTGATGTTTCCTCAAATCAATCCTTGACTTTTTTCTCTCCTTATGCTAACCACTTCTTGAGATCTCCTATTTCACCTAATGGCATCCATATCTATGATTGAAGTGTGGCCTCTTTTTTGAGCTCCAGACATAGGTTTTAAACTTGAATTACAGGCCCAGGAAATCTCTTTGTAGATAACACATAGTCCCCCTTTACTCTCCCCTCTACATACGAATATGTTCATTCTTTATTATTCACGCACACACATTATTATCCATAGACGAGCTAGGCCAGATTATAAAGTCTCGTAATAGCTGAAAGATTAGAGGTGGTAACGATTTGACCTTGGCACAAGTGTACTTTTCTCTGGTCTATTCATGAAGAGACAATAGGAAGTACAAAGGATAAAAGTGGTGAACATGACGGTCTATTTCTTCCCTTCTTTCATGAGAAGGAGTGCTGAAAATTTGGTGTTCTTGACCACCCATAGAGAGGAACAAGTATGCCAAGTCAGAGAATAACAGGACTATGGGCCCAAACTCCTGGCCTCAAGTGATCCTCTTGCCTCAACCTCCTGAGTAACTGGGATTATAGGAAGAACACACCATGCCTGGCTCAAACTATGGAATCACTAGCTCTTTATCTGTTGCTACCTTATCACTCTGAAACAATAGACCATATAAGGCTACTGTGTTACCTGGGCCTCGAGGCCTTGACATTCTTTTTTGTTTGTTTGTTTGTTTTTTTGAGACAGAGTCTCACTCTGTCGCCCAGACTGGAGTGCAGTGGCATGATCTCGGCTCACTGCAAGCTCTGCCTCCCGGGTTCATGCCATTCTCCTGCCTCAGCCTCCTGAGTAGCTGGGACTACAGGTGCCCGCCACCACGCCCGGCTAATTTTTTTGTTGTATTTTTAGTAGAGACGGGGTTTCACTGTGTTAGCCAGGATGGTCTCGATCTCCTGACCTCGTGATCCGCCTGCCTCGGCCTCCCAAAGTGCTGGGATTACAGGCTTGAGCCACCGCTTCCGGCCGAGGCCTTGACATTCTTACTGTGCCAGCACTTGAGCAATCCTTCTTGATCTATACTTCTGCTACCAAGCCCTATGAGTTTTCTATTCATGTCCTTTTAGGAGCTATTTGTGGGCAATCCTAATGATGTCCCACCACAATACAGCAGTTACCCAAGTCAGAAAATTTGAAATAGTCCTTGCTTTTATACTCTTTTCCACCTCCTATACCAAACAAATTATTACCTTCCACCACTTCTTCCCATTAAATACCTTTTACTTACCCACTCCTCTCTGTTTCCAGTGTTATTTCCACTATCATCTCTCAGATGAAATATTGCAAAAGTCTCCAGTGTGGCCTCTAACCTCAAACTCTGTGCTCTCTCCAGTTCATTCTGCATTCTACTGTCAGCAGGAACATCCTAAAACATAAATATGATGCTGCCTCACTCCCTTTCAAAAATTATTTAATGACTCCTCAGCACCTTCAGGATAAACTCCAAGTTTATCCAACATAAGCTGGGGCCTACTGAGTTTTGATATCTCATTTACCATTTCTTCTCCTTCTTCAGAAGATTTCTAATTCCTCAAGCATGCATTATGTCCTTAAGCCCCCATGCCTTCTAAAATGTGTAGAATGCTGTCTTCCTATCTTCTCCATGATGTTTATGATATTTACTAGTCTGCCAAAACTCTATTCGGGTCTACCCACATACTCTCTCTGCAAATCTTATAACTGCCATTTTCAGAGCACATTCAGACTCCAATCATTTCTTTACCACCTCTTCTCCTATCACCTGAGTTCAAGTCACCATGACTTTTCAAATAGATTACTACAATATTCATCAAATTAGTCTGTTGACTTTTACCCTTGCTTACCCCATGGTATTTTTCCTCCCATAGTAGCCAGAAAGAGTCTTGAAATCCTACGTCAGATCATATTACTTCCCTGTTTATAACCCATCAATGGACTCAGAGGCAAAGCCAAATTCTTATAATGACCTACACAGCACATATTATCTGGTCTCCAATTACCTCTCTGGTCTCATGTCACATGTTTCACATGCTCTCTCACATTATTTAAGCAACACTGGCACCTGCTATTCCAACAACACATTTCTATCTTAGGATGTATTCCCTCTGTCCATAACTCCACCTCCAGATTACATACACACAACACATATGTACATATCTGATGTATAGATATGTATATATACATTCCTAGAATACTGTCATGGACATAAAATTTCTTCTGTAGCCTATTAGCATCTCTAGCTGGGCCTAAGAATTAAACTAACATATGACAGATTATCAGGAGAAAAGCATACACATTTTATTTAGTAAGTTTTCTATGTGCATGGGAGCCTTCAGAAGGAAAATGAAGACCTAAAGAAGCATTTAGAGCTGAAAGCTTGTATACTAGATTGGACAAAGAGCAGTAAATTGTGAAAATATGGCAAGACAAGGGGCTTGGGCTCGGCCAGTTAACTGTGGAAAAATGACTAGGAAGATAAGAGTTAGTTTGACAAGGTTAGTTTGTACAGATTTCTCTCAGCCTTGCCTCCTCATCTCTGGTGACAAGAATGTCTTCCTTCCTTCCCATGTGAAGAGCATCCTTTACATGGAAGTTTAATCTCCTGCTTTTAGGAATAAAAAGCAGGTCAAGGTGCCCTTGTTGCATCTGCTGTTTTTCAAGTGCCTTTAACTCAAAATAATCAATATGCCAAGATGTCATATTTTGGGGTGGCCTGTTTTCAACCCCTTACAATATATATAACTATACAACCACATGTACACAAAGATATAGACACACAGATATACTGATATGGGTAATTGTCTCATTCCAGTCAAATGCCACTATATGAAAGATATCTCACCTGACAACCCCAACTAAAAGAGCAATGTCTCATCAATATTCTCCATCTTCTTAGCCTACTTTGTTTTTTTCTCAGAGCATCACACAGTCTGTTCTTTATTTTACTGTTTCTGTTTGATTACAATAGAATGTAATCTCCATAAAAATAGATCTTGACTGTTGTATTCATTGGTGTATCCCTGAAACAGGATAATGAATAAATGAATGAACAGATAAATGAATAAATGGAGAGATTAATCAATTATCTCCCATTTTGTTTTCCTCTCCACTACAGAATCCAAATAAATATGCACCAAAATATTTTCACTAATTTTATAATTCTAAAGACAGTTTGTTTCTCATTTTGAGACATTTGGAAACAAAGGTCATTACATTTTATAACATATATGTTATAAATAACATAACTATATATGTTATAAATAACATAGCATTATATATATATACATATATATGTGTGTGTATGTGTGTGTGTGTGTATATATATATATATATAAAATCTCCCTTCATTTGTTCACCTCAAGGAGCTCTAACATTCCAGTCAAATGCCATGTTGGGAGATGCTTAGCACCAGAGAGCTACACAACAGAGGCAATTCTTAAATGTTACATTCACTTTTATTCTCTTGCTTAAATTAACTCCATTTGAGAGCTAACCCAGAGTAATTAAAAATAAGTTGGTTTAAATATTCTACATGTATTAGTTTTATAGCACTATCATAACAAAGCACCACAAATTGTGTGGCTTTAGACAACAGAAATATGTCCTGTCACAGTCTGGAGGCTAGAAGTCCAAAATCTAGGTATTGGAAGAGCCAGGCTCCTCCAAAGCCCCTAGAGTCCTATTTCTTATCCCTTCCAGTTTCTGGTAGCCTCAGGTATCCCTTGGCTTGTAGCAGCATAATCCCAATTCCTGCCTCTGCCTTCATTTCTCTGTATCTGTCTCTCCTTTCTTTATAAGAACACCAGACATATAGGATTAAAGGGCCCACCCTACACCAGTATAAACTCATATTAATTAAATATAGCTGCAACAGCCATATTTTGAAATAAGGTCATATTCTGAGGTCCTAGGAGTCAGGATATCAACACATTATTTTGAGGGACACAATTCAACCTATACACTAGGAAAATAAAACCTCTATGTTCTGCCATGGAGGTTATACTTTTATTCTTTGCACATTCATTTATTCAGCAACTCTTTTGTGATACACACAATATCAGATTCTGAACAATAAAAATGAATTAAATCTAGTTCTTATCTGTATAGAGATATGGAAACAAATATTTAATACTTAAAATACTACATTTAAATGTGATACGAGTGGTATCATCAGAGTGCCCTGGGAGCATAGTTTACGTCTGATTAATTCAGCCTATGAGACCAGGCAAGGCATTACAAAGATAATTTTAAACTTAATAGTAATGGAAGTCTGAGACCTAGGCAGGTGCAAAGATCAGAGGGGACCTTCCAGATACAAGTCCATTAAATACACATATGTTGGGTATCTGCTGTATGCTAAACATAAGAGTTAGGTGCTGGCATACAGATAAAATTTGTGTTAGTTTCTGGGAATACAGGCATTAAGTGCACTTGTCTTGATGGGATATTAATTTAGTGAGAAAAACAGTAAACAGATAATGATAGAACTATGATGAAGCCGTAACAGAGTGAAGGAAAGAAATAATTAGGCTTGAATACCACATTAACTGACATGACAATATTATGAAGACTATTCTGTAAGAGAGTGAAATTATACATTTTGCTAAATTTTTTTAAAAGACACCTATAGAGCATACTATTGCAGAATAAGGAACACTTCATATAGTACAGTATCAATCATTTTTTCATTTTAAGTTCAGATTTCCATGCATTCATATCCACATGCCCTTTGCTAGGTGTTACTTGGATATTATACTTTTTTTCTTTATATCTTCTAAAAAAATAAAATAAAATGGGATACATGTACAGAATGTGCAGGCTTGTTACATAGGTATACATGTGCCATGGCAGTTTGCTGCACCTATTGACCTGTCCTCTAAGTTCCCTCCCCTCACCCTTACCCCACAACAGGCCCTGGTATATGTTGTTCCCCTCTCTGTGTACATGTGTTCTCAATGTTCAACTACCATTTATGAGTGACAACATGTGGTGTTTGGTTTTCTGTTTCTGTGTTAGTCTGCTGAGGATGATGGCTTCCAGTTTCATCCATGTCCCTACTGATACACACAATATCAGATTGTGTGTATGAACATGATTTCATTCATTTTTATAGCTGCATAATATTCCATGGTGTATATGTACAACATTTTCTTTATCCAGTCTATCACTGATGGGCATTGGGGTTGGTTCCATGTCTTTGCTATTGTAAATAGTGCTGCAATAAACGTACATGTGCATGTGTCCTTAGAATAGAATGATTTATATTCCTTTGGGTATATACCCCATAATGCGATTGCTGGGCCAAATGGGATTTCTGGTTCCAGACCCTTGAGGAATCACCACACTGTTTTCTTCTACAATGGCTGAACTAATTTACATTCCCACCAACAGTGTAAAAGTGTTCCTATTTCTCCACAGCCTCGCCAGCATCTATTGTTTCCTGACTTTTTAATAATCACCATTCTGACTGGCGTGAGATGATATCTCATTGTGGTTTTGATTTGCATTTCTCTGATGATCAGTGATGTTGAGCTTTTTTCACATTTGTTGACTGCATAAATGTCTTCTTTGAGAAGTGTCTGTTCATATCCTTCTTCCACTTTTTGATGGGGTTGTTGGTCTTTTTCTTGTAAATATGCTTAATTTCCTTGTAAATTCTGAATTTTAGATCTTTATAAAATGGGTAGATTGCAAAAATTTTCTCCCATTCTGTAGATTGCCTGTTCACTCTGATGATAATTTCTTTTGCCATACAGAAGCACTTTCGTTTAATTAGATCCCATTTGTCATGAAGTCTTTGACTTTTTGTCATGAAGTCTTTGCCCATGCCTATGTTCTGAAGGGTATTGCCTAGGTTATCTTCTAGAGTTTTTATGGTTTTGGGTTTTACATATAAGTCTTTAATTCATCTTGAGTTAATTTTCATATAAGGTGAAAGGAAGGGGTCCAGTTTTAGTTTTCTGCATATGGCTAGCCAGTTTTCCCAGCACCATTTACTGAATAGCAGATCCTTTCCCCATTGCTTGTTTTTGTGAGATTTGTCAAAGATCAGATGGTTGTAGATGTGCGTTGTTATTTCTGAGGGCTCTTTTCTGCTCCATTGTTCTATATGTCTGTTTTGGTACTAATACCATGCTGTTTTGGTTACTGTACCTTTGCAGTATAGTTTCAAGTCAGGTAGCATGATGCCTCCAGCTTTGTTCTTTTTGCTTAGGATTGTCTTGGCTATGTAGGCTCTTTTTTGGTTCCATATGAATTTTAAAGTAGCTTTTTCTAATTCTGTGAAGAATGTCAGTGGTAGATTGATGGAAATAGCATTGAATCTATACATTACTTTAGGCAGTAGAGCCATTTTCACGATATTGATTCTTCCTATCAACAAGGATGGAATGTTTTTCCAGCTGTTTGTGTTCTCTCTGATTTCCTTGAGCAGTGGTTTGTAGTTCTCCTTGAATAGGTCTTTCACCTCCCTTGTTAGCTGTATTCCTAGGTATTTTATTCTCTTTGTAGTAATTGTGAATGGCAGTTAATTCATGATTTGGCTCTCCGCTTGTGTATTGTTGGTGTAAAGGAATGCTTGTGATTTTTGCACATTGATTTTTTATCCTGATACTTTGCTGAAGTTGCTTATCAGTTCAAGAAGTTTTGGGGCTGAGATGATCAGGTTTTCTAAATATAAAATCATGTCATCTGCAAACAGAGACAATTTGAATTTCTCTCTTCCTATTTGAATACCCTTTATTTCTTTCTCTTACCTGGTTGCCCTGGCCAGAACTTCCAATAGTATGTTGAATAGGAGTGGCGAGAGAGCACATCCTTGTCTTTTGCTGGTTTTCAAAGGGAATGCTTCCACCTTTTGCCCATTCAATATGATATTGGCTGTGGGTTTGTCATAAATAGTTCTTATTATTTTGAGATATGTTCCTTCAATACCTAGTTTATTGAAAGTTTTTAACATGAAGGACTGTTGAATTTTGTTGAAGGCCTTTTCTGCATCTATTGAGATAATCATGTGGTTTTTGTCATTGGTTCTATTCATGTGATGGGTTACATGTATTGATTTGCATATGTTGAATCAGCCTTGTATCCCAGGGATGAGGCTGACTTGATCACGGTGGATACGTTTTTTGATGTGCTGCTGGATTCAGTGTGCCAGTATTTTACTGAGGGTTTTCACATCGATTTTCATCATGGATGTTGGCCTGAAGTTTTCTTTTTTTGTTGTGTCTCTTCCCGATTTTTTGTTTGTCTCTTCCCGATTTTGGCATCAGAATGACACTGATTCCTTTTATCCTAATACTCTTTATCTTCATCCATAAATTAGCTACCCAGGTTCTAAAGCAAACAGATGATAAGTAACAAGTAAATAAGACAAGTCAAGTTTCTATCTTTCCCTTCTGTATCAAACTAATGAAAAACACAAAGGGAAGGAAAGCAACAAATGAAAAATTTTTTGATAATATGAACATGAATTTAAAGTATTTCTGTGCATTCATAATAATATAATCTTCTTTTGAATCACTGGGTTCTGTAGTTTGATAAAATTTGGAGAAAATCTTCCTTCTTACCAGAGACCTCTGTTTTTAACAAACACATTTTTTTCGTGATTATCTTTTTGTTTCAAGGGTGCCTTAGAAATAGTTTTATATGAATGAATACATGTAAAATAAAAGTTTTATATGAATGAATACATATAAAAATTATAAAAATTAAATATGTACATACATATGCCTGTATATGTTATGACTTTATCTATATATGCTTTTATATATTAGCTATATATACACATAAAATTATATAATACATTGACCACTGGAAGCCAACTAAAAAATTGACAGAGAATAATTTGCTAAAATTTGTTAAACATAAAATTCTGTCAGGGAGAAAATCTTTTCCTCTGCCCAAATAGGTTCTTTAATTGAGGGTCTGTGAATTAAATGTACGAAAGACAGATTAGCTAGATAAAAGACAGATTTTAATTGTGTATGTACCTAAGGTAGTTCACAAAGAAATATGACTCAAAAAGACTGGTTAGAATTCGGGGCTTATAAACTTAATAGGTGAAGGGGACAGGGAGAAGGTCACATATGAGGGGAAAATGACTTCATAGAAGTGAGGAAAGGAAAGAAAGGGCAGACTTATGGGAAAACAAATGACTTTGGAAGGATAAATGGGCCCTTAGGAGAACGGAGAGGAGATATGACAGTTCTGTGGTAATTTCTGTTTAGATGTGGTGCCAACATCTTTTGTCTTTGGTGATAAGAGTCAATCTTCCCTGGTTGCTGTTTGGGAGGGGACTTATGACAATTGAATCTTTTGAGTTCTTTGGGGAGTTTCTGCTTTTAAACAGATAAGGGATTTTGAGGAACTCTAATGCCTTCAATTCAAAATAACTTTTATGCCATAGTAAAATATTCTGGATTCCTTTAATCCAGAGAATAGAAAGGTGGGTATATAGTTTAACAGAAAAATAGAGACAACAGGACCCTCATTGGGTGCTGAGCACTCTGCATCTAAGAGAATAATCTTATTGTTTTGTGATCTCACTTTGTAACTGGGTGGCTACCACCTCTGGTGGAGCATTTAAGGATAAACAGGTTTCACCTCCAAGTTTTAACTTTGGGGCCAATGTGCTATCTGTCCTGTCCCTCACCTCCCTTATTTCTCTTTAGTTTTTCAGAGGACGAATAAAAACAGGTTAAGTTAGCAAAATCCTCTTTGTGTGACTTATTTTCTAATGAGCTTTTTGGCTTAGAAAGAAAATCTGCAACTGATTAACAAAAAAGTTAAGGAACTTTAATTAGGACTTTGAAATCTAAGCACAACAATATATTCTTGTGTGTGATTACAGACTCAGGGAGCATCCAGGGTGACAGCAGTGAGCCCAGGAATATTAGGTCAGGAAGAGTGACTGAATACCAGGTGCTCACCTGAAGAGAGCTGCCTGTCCTTCTGGGCACTGTGGATGAAGGAACCGTCAAACATAGTGCCTGGCAATCCTGCTGTGGGGAAGTGAAGAGGATGAGAAAGGAAACGGTGTCTGCACAATCCGATCATTACCTTCCCTTTCTCACAGGCTAATTTTGATAACACTACCAGCAAACATGCTTTGAAATTATCTGTACTAAACATACATGATGCAAATTGAAACTTGAGGTTTTTTTCTATAAAAATATTAAAAACACATTTATCTTTATATCATGGACCATTGCTTTCTTGTTCTCTATATTTCTACTACAAATTCTATGATTGTAGCTCTACTATTTTCTATTTTTTACTCACTTTGATATACAGATGAGAGGTTTTAAAAGCATTCTCTTTTGCTGAATATAAAAACTGAAGTGTCACTGAAATCCTTAGCAGAGCCAACTATGTCTATCACACACCATTACTTTCTACACTGTTTGTGATTACTGGGCTTGACTTTAACAAAAGACTTCGTTAAAAACCAAGGGCAAGATCCCACCTTTGTGAAAGAATCTATTAAACAAAACCAAACCCATGATATCTGAGGAGGAAAAAAAGAAAAAACAAAGAAATAGCTGACCTATTTTTAGCATGCTGAATAAGCATCAGTACCTTCTATCAGGAGATTCTGAACAGTGGCAGTAGCACAAAATTAATCCAAATATGAAGGCAATTTGAGTTAAACTGTCCGTATGCCTCACAGTCTTTAATTAATTAGTTATTATTACTAATTATAATATTAGTAAATGCACATGTAAAATACATGTGTTTGTATATACGTGTATGTACATGTATATAAGTATGTGTGTGTGCGGTTGGGGCAAACACAAGCACACATACACACACACACACTAAAACCACATTAAGGTGAGTCTACAAAATGCATATGTTTTTTCAGGTGCTAAATGTTGGGTGTCAGGTACCCAGTGGCAACAAAATAAATATGATCTATTGTAAGATTTACAGTGGTCCAGGATTTATAAGCCTATTTTAAGCATTATCTCTATTTTGAATAAAGAAATAACCTCACAGAACCTATAACTACTCAAAATTATGCCATGAATGCATTATCCAACATATCCAACAACTTTCTATGCATTACCAATGAAATAGAACAGCAGTGACTAAAAGTTAACAGAATTAATTGAGGGTAGGGCTGTTACAAGTTATGCAACTCTGATGACTGCTGTCTTCATCTGAGTCCTTTTCAGAAAACAAGGCTTTGCAAGTGAGGATATATAACACATAAATATAATTATTTGATTTCTGATCTGTATTAGAAATAAGAATGATTTTTTGGTTTCTTGTAAGTAAAACTTTTGGGTATTTTTATACATTTATTTCTTTTGCATCAATCTCATTTAAATGTCCAATTTACATTTATCCATCAAATAAACAGAGTGACTTTATAAGAAATAATCTTAGACCCAGTCACTTATGCCATCCTAGCCCACATCAGTGATTTGAATGCATGATTTTAGGTGACAAGAAATAAGGGAAAACTCTGAAACCCCAAGACAAAGCAACCTATTCACTCCATGTATGACCTTCCTCTTGGCATAATTGCCTTGCCAACTTTTGGGGAAGAAGTACAAAATAGGACTACAATCCAATGTTATTATAAATATTCTTAGCTGCTACAGCGTCTGTTGTAGAGACTGGTTAGAATCAGCAATCAGCACTATTGGTTTTGGGGAAAGATCAAAACACAGTCTTTGTTGTCTTGCTTTGGTTCTATATTAAAAGTGAAATATTTTACTCAGAAATTTTTCTTCTAGCCCTGACATAATGGGACTCATGATGGGTGATGGATAAGTGGATGATTGAGTTGTTTTTGAGATAAGCACTGCTTAGTGGAAGAGTTATGGAGCACAGCAGCCAATAAAACCATCTACAACGACTAATGGATAGTGATGACAGAGCTATAAGCACAGCAGGGAACATTTTTAGCTCCCTTTCCTGTCATGGGGTATAGTTTCCTCTGCATTGCAAGGAGTGGGGTCAACACCTGCAATATAATGCATTTTAAATTTCAAATGCAAGATCATCCCACATAAGAGAAAAATGCTGTATCAGATTCCACCTTCAGCTTGTTGGAGCCCTTGTGACTGTGTAACCATCTAACAAAACACATGGGATAGACATCATAGGAAGAAAATA
Source organism: Homo sapiens (assembly GCF_000001405.40). NCBI lineage: Eukaryota > Metazoa > Chordata > Mammalia > Primates > Hominidae > Homo > Homo sapiens. The sequence continues at coordinate 97,331,395 of NC_000004.12, forward strand.
AGCCAAATTATGACAAATTCTTAGCATCTGATAATCCCAACTTGTTTACATATTGGGAGAAAGTTTGGCAAAATGATCTAATCAAAACAGCAGACAGAACATCAGTTCTTCCTCAATCCCATCCATAAAAAAAAAAAAACTGTTGAATGAAAACGTTTTATTTCTAACTGCTTATTTCAGTCTCATTTATACTATTCTCTTTCCAAGTTTTTTTTAAGAGAAGTGGAGAAAAATAAAGGGGGTACAAAGAAGTCCTGGCTTGAATGTAAGCTGGTAGTACTCTTGGTCAAAATTGGGAAACAACAGAGCAGAAAAACCTAGTTTTATGAGAAACTAAAAATTTCCTTAGAAATAATTCAGACTTAGAGACACTAACCAATGCTTATTATTTGGAGGGCCAGAGCAAAGAAAGCCACTCATTAAAATTGTCCCACTGGATATGTAGCTAAGTGGAATGTCTCATAAATTAAAACCAAATAGTCTGCTTTACTAAGATCTTGACAAGACACAGGCAGACCAGAGTGGGACATAAGAGTTCCCTGGATTGGTTTTATTTGTTGCCTCTTCAAATAGATTTAAAATATTTTTCCATTCAGTGCCTATTTAACAGGAACAAGGAGAAGTAGATTTTCTTCTATATGTTGTTTAATAAACAGGTTCACATGTTATTTCTTTTCATTGCCTACGTCAGACCTGGTCTTTTGAAAATAGTTTGCAAACCATCTCCTTTTTCGATAGTTCTTGTTCTTCAGTACTGTTGTGACTTTCCAAAACTTCTTGAGAGCCATGTTAAGCCACTTACAATAGACATAATAAAAAATGAAAATTATTTTTCGTAAACAGCCCCATACCATGCATTATTATTTTCAGGTTTTCAGTTAACTGTGACCACTAGCTTTCAACTAAGGTGTGTGACCTTACAAAATCAACAGAAATAAATCTGCGTTTACAAGGAGTTGTTGTTGCTGTTGCTGTATCTTGGTTCTATTTGGTTTCATTTTAGCCTAGGGCCCAGTCCATTTCACAGGGAGTAAACATCATCATTGATACCAGTAATGTTTTGTTGCTACTACATATGGCCGGCAGAGCTAGGCCCTAGTTGACACACTCTTTTCTCAAATGCTTCACTAGGACAAAAGTAGCACTGATTGGTACATTCAATTTTAGACCAACCTTTTAAAGGGACACACTAATTAGTCCTCAAATTTGCCTCAGAGCACTACAAAGTATTAGGAAATATACTATTCCATGTTTATATGAGTTTCTTCCTCCAGCCTGTCTGTCCTTCCTTTAGTTCCTCCTTTCCACGGAAAAGGGATTGATTGATTGGATGGGTGAGCTGAGGAGGATCTGTCACCCAGTTGTCCACGTTGCAGTGAGGCACATGCCCTGGGACCTCATTCTTTGCCCCTACTATCAGGGCTCTGTGGGTATGAGGCTGATTTTCCCTTGTAGCCTATCTGTGTAAACAACCTGCATACTCTATTCCTAAAAGGACTTTCCCAAAATCAGAACTTAGGCAACGGCTACTAGAAATTCCATGTACAGTCACAAACCCAAGCTGTGTTTGCTAATCCACTTCCACTGACAATAAAGATGATATTTTAGTGTATATTTATTGAGCTTCTGTGTCATTTTTTAATGAGCTCTAAGCTTGAGGGAAAAGGAGGATTGTGCACTACCTTGGTCCCATTTCAACTCTCAACTCACAGGTCCACCACCTTTAAAGCTCCAGGGCATTGTTCCCAGAGAAGATACCGGAAGTGGCTGGTTCCCAGGACCCCACAGAGAGAGGCCAAAGCAGAAGAAAAAGTCAGAAATTGTGCATGGCATTTGGCAGTTGACTGATAATACTTATGAGAATATGAGAGATAGTCTTTGGAAACTCACAGAAAAACTCAGAGGGGATATTTCAGGAAAAACTCAGAGGTGAACTTGCAAGCTGTGGATCAAAACACTTCAGGTTATTCTATATGAGGTCTCAGCCTAGTGAAACCTGAGAAGTTTAGGTTACCTGTGCATATATATTATAAACAATGTATTTGTGCAAAGCATTTGGGAGGGGTTTATAACATTTAATTATAAGACCATATCTGTGAAGTAAGCAAGATAACCATAATTTTCTATTTTACATGTAGAAAACTGAAGCATAGAAGGCTAGAATTATCTCCATGTTATATAGCTGGCAAAAACTGGGGAAGGATTAAAAAGATACGTTCCCTAATTTCTAGACTGTTAAGTCTAGAATAATTTAGAGTTCCTTAAGCCTACAAATTCTCCTTTAGAGAAATATTTATAATATTTATACAGAATTTTGCAGGAATATGGCCTTATTTAGACATAACTAGATTCAAAAACATAGAAATACTTTAGGGCTTAATAATTGTGATGGGCAGACTCCTAAGATGGGTTCCAATGTTTCCTGCCACCTGGTATTCATACTCTTTTGTAAGCCCCTTCCTTTGAGTTTGGGCAGGATCTGTGACTTCCTTTTAGCCAGGAAAATTCAGCAAAGGTGATGGATGTTACTTCCATTATTACATTACATGAGATTGAGGTTTCCATACTACAGTAGACTTGTATTATTGGCTCTCTCTCTCTTGCTGGCTTTGATGAAACAAACTGCCATATAAAAGGGCACATGTTAACAAACTAAAGGAAACCTCCAGCTAACAGCCAGCGAAGAACTGAATTCTGCCAACAACATGTAAGCCTAGAAGAGGATCCTGCCTCAGTCAAACTTTGGATGTAACCCCATCCCCATCAAGGTAGATACTTTAGGGTAGCCTATGCCCTGATTCCTGACCACAGAAATGGTCAGGTAATAAATGTGTGGGTTTTTTAAGCCACTAAGTTTGTGACAATTTATTGTGCAGCACTAGATAACTAAAACAGTAATTGATCCATTTTCCTTTAAATAAAATAACAGGAATTCTCTTACAGGTAAAAGCTATCACCAGGCCTAACAGTTATATTCACTCTCATCATCTTATTTCATATGCTGCCTTAACTTGTACTGGGCCATGTAATAAGCACTTGTGATTTGTGCAGCAGACACCGTCTTTTTACAGTGTTCTCCCTTATCTCCCTGGCAGAATTCAATGCTCACTTGTCTACAGGCAGGCACTGCAAGGCCAGAATCATTTATTGTAGAGCATTTAAGAATATTTCTGTATTAACAAGTCCTTGTGACATAAACACTAATGGAAAGCATAATTCAGTCTCAAGATACCTTATGGAACATTTATCCTGAATTGCCTTGCCAAGGCTTGGAAACAGGTGATCAACATTCTCCTCTGATGATGTATGCAGCCCGGGACTATTGTGTCAGAAGGGAAAGAAAGAAAAAAGAAATATATATATATACATACCTCCTTATATTGTTCCCTGGCAGTTTTTCATTTAGAAGGTCTATTTTATAAATGTGTGTTTTTATTCATCTTTTTCCTCATGCAAGGATTGAAAACGAGAAATAAATTGGTTTAATCATTTTCTGAGAAATCAGCTAAATTCTAATGTTGTTTGATCACATCCAGTAGCAAAAATGTCAAGTGCATTTCCATTTAGAGTGCTTGCTTAAATAGCCATGCAAATAGGGAACACCCAAAAGTCGGCATATATCATGAGACAGTTTTGAATTTTTTATCTAGCACACCCTTGCATTAATCCAGTCTCTTACTCTTGAAAATAATGCATTTTTCCAGCACATCATTCCTTAAATGAGGGTGATACATCACCACTGGAGATTCACCAGTGAGGCACATTAATAAAGGCAGACAGCTTCAGTTGTGTTTTTTGGGGAGAAGGTTTGGTTCTCATGAGTACAATGTTTGGTTGCTTATGCCAAAAATCAAACCCAGATGTTTCAACAACTTCTATTTTTCTTGCTAGGACATTTCTCCAGATCATAATCTATGGGAACTCTAATTTCATTCTTCACTAAGAGCTGCTCATTTCAAAATATTTTATTTGATATAGAGGATTAGGATTTGTCTCCTCTCTTCTGAAAACTAAGAAATTAAAAAATGCTATCACAAGTAGACATCTTATTCTTTGATTAGGTCAGAACTATGAAGTGAAGAAAATACACACACATACACACACACACACTTTCAAACACCTATTTGAATAGTAATCAGTGAGGCTGAAACATCTAAAATTTAGAACAATTGTCAATTTTTATTAAATTCTTTTTAAATCTTAAGTATTTTTGGATTATATGCTTCCTGAAAATGGGTAATAATGGGATAAATGGGAGAACCGAATACTTGAATTTTGATCTTTAATTAGATTAAGAATTAGCTAAGTGATATTTTATTGAATAAAGTTATATGACGTTTTTCTTATTCAAACCCATTTTTTTCATTTCAAATTGTGTAAGTGCATCACATATTTAGGTGATGCACAGTGTAATCTCTAAATCCTTTTAATTCTAACAGTTTAGAATCTGGGCTATCCATACGGTGGGGTGAACTCTCCAGCATAACCACATTTCAACTTGGATGAAAAGAAGCCTTCATTTTCTCATATTCATTTGAACAATTCCACACTTAAACTATGTATAATGATTAAAATGAGCATCTATGTTTGTAGTGTTGAATCAGATATTTAATCACCTCAATAAAACTGAAAATAAAAATTTTAAATCTGTAAATCAAATAATCAGCATTCAGTCTCATAGTAATAAAATTTAGAAAAATATAAAAATAAGATATGTAGAAACTCCCTAGAGCAGATTACGTTTTTATGTTATTCTTGATGAATAGATTTGATGGAATTCAATTAAAGACATCTGAGAAAATATATGTTGATTAATCATAGCAACATACTTATATGAGAGATCCACAGGGAAGAGAGATCCATGTATTATTTGAAACATATCTTATTAAACATTCTTAGTAGAAACTGCACTGAGTATCTAATAGCATGGAATTGCCAAGAAAAGGGTTTAAAACAGAAGAGAATTACTGTAAGACCCAGATTTAAGATCAGGAAAAGTCACGTCTTTATATAAAGAAAAGCCAGCCCAAAGAAAGAAACTGTAAATTCAGATTAATTGAGGAAGTCAGCACAAAGAAAAATACTAAAGAAACAAACTGGAATTTTTAAAGGCAAACACTGAGTATGGAAAAGAAACATGGTATGAAACAGAGAGACTGGAAATAGATAAATTTGCATGCTTAATATTTTCCTTACAATTTCCTGAGTTTGACTGTGAATTTCAGTGTTCCAGAGCACCAGAGTTCAAATTAGTACTACTAATTTTTAAAGGTTGTCCACAGAAGTTCACTAACTCGAGTTAGGACAGAGAGACTTACAAGTGAGTGTCGTTTAATAGAAACAATTAAAACAACCTGGGCAAGCTACAAAACTACAGCCTAAAAGAAATAGAGAATGGAGGCAGGGCCAAGATGGTCAACTAGAAGCAGTGGCAAACAGAGGGTCCCATTGAAAAGATCTAAAACAGCATGCAAATCCTGCACCAGCAAGTGAGGTATCCAGGTTCTGTCCTTAGGACTGACTAGGCAGCTGACATGACCCACGGAGAGGAAGGAAGAGCAGTGTGGTGCAGCGGACCACCTGAGGGCCACACAGGGCAGGGGAGCCCCCACCCCCAGCCAAGGGAGGCAGTGAGTGAGTGTGCTACCCAAACTGGGAAACCATGCTTTTTCCACAGAACTGTGCAACCCACGGATTGGAAGATCCCACTTGGGAGCCAACACCACTGAGGCCTTGGGTCCCAACCATGGAGCCATGCAGTTTCTCAACACCTAATCGGCTGGAATCAGCCTAAGCCTGCTGAGTTCCTTGGGGGCGGTGTGGCCATCACCAATGCTATGGCTGCCTGTGGTCTAAGCCACCTGAGCTTCATGGAGGAGGGACAGGAACCATCATTCTGGCTGCAGGGCCTCCCAGCAGGAACTCCAACTCTAGCCAGGGGCTCAGGGACAGAACTGTGATCTCCCTAGGCCTAAACCCCTAGAGGTAGGGGTGGCTTTAGTCTCCACAGACCAGAAGACTTAGTCTTTCCTCTTGCTTGCTCTCAGGAATCCAGGCAGCCCAGATGAGTGAGTTTTCCCCCAGCACAGCACACCACCTCCACCAAGGGACAGCCAAAGTGCCTTGTTAAATGGATCCTGCTTCTTGTGCCACCCAACTGGGTGAGACCCTCCCCAAAAGGGGTTGTCAGACATCTTATACAGGAGCACTCTTACTGGCATCAGGTTGTTGCCCCTTGAGGCCAGAGATCCCAGAGGAAGGAGTAGGCACCCATGTTTGTGGCTCTCTAGCCTCCTTGAGTGACATCTCCAGGCATAGGAACAAACTAGATGAAAAGGGCCTGAAGTGAACGCACAGCAAACCGCAGCAGCCCTGCAGAAAAGGGACTTCATTATTGAAAGAAAAACAAACAGAAAGCAACAACAGCATCAACAAAAGTCCCCACAAAAACCTCATCCAAGAGTCAGCAGCCTCAGAGAACAAAACTAGACAAACTCATGAAGACTAATAAGAATCAATGAAAAAATGCTGAAAACCCATAAAGCCAGAGTGTCTCTACTCCTCCAAATGATTACAACACCTCTCCAGCAAGGGCGTAGAACTGGATGAGATGGATGAATGGACAGAAGTAGGTTTCAGAAGGTGAGAAATAACAAACTTCAGTGAGGTAAAGGAGCATGTTCTAACCCACTGTAAAGAAGCTAAGAACCTTGATAAAAGGTCAGAGGAACTGCTAAAGAGAATAACCAGTTAAGAGAGAAACATAAATGACCTGATGGAGCTGAAAAACAGCATGAGAACTTCGTGAAGCATACACAAGTATCAATAGCCAAATTGATCAAGCAGAAGAAAGTATCAGAGATGGAAGACTATCTTGCTGAAATCAGCAAGGGAGACAAGATTAGAGAAAAAAGAACAAACAAAACCTCTGAGAAACGTGGGACTATGTAAAAAGACAGAACTTACAACTGATTGGAGTACCTGAAAGAGACAGGGAGAATGGAACCAAGTTGGAAAATACACTTCAGGATATTATCCAGGAGAACTTCCCCAACCTAGCAAGACAGGCCAACATTCAAATTCAGGAAATACAGAGAGCCCCACTCAGATACTCCACGAGAAGATCAACCCCAAGACACATAATCATCAGATTATCCACGGTTGAAATGAAGGAAAAAATGTTAAGGGCAGCCAGAGAGAAAGGCCAGGTCACCTACAAAGGGCCAGGTCACCTACAAAGAAAGGCCAGGTACCTACAAAGACTAACAGCATATCTCCCAGGAGAAACCCTATGAGCCAGAAGAGAATGGGAGTCAATATTCAACATTCTTAAAGAAAAGAATTTTCAATGCAGAATTTCATACCCAGACAAGCTTCATAAGTGAAGGAAAAATAAAATCCTCTCCAGACAAGCAAATGCTGAGGGAATTCTTCACCACCAGGCCTGCCTTGCAAGAGCTCCTGAAGGAAACACTAAATATGGAAAGGAAAAACTATACCAGCTACTGCAAAAGAAATGAAAATATAAATACCAATGATGCTATGAAGAAGAGGTATCCCACTGTACAAAAAAACCACACAGCATCATAATGATAGGATAAAATTTACACATAACAAAATTAACCTTAAATGTAAATGGGCTAAATACCCCAACTAAAAGACAGACTGGAAAACTGGATAAAGAGTCAAGACCTATCAGTGTGCTGTATTCAAGAGACCTATCTCTTGTGCAAAGGTACACATAGGCTTAAAATAAAGGGATGGAGGAAAATTTACCAAGAAAATGGAAAACAGAAAAAAGCAGGGGTTGCAATCCTAGTCTCTGACAAAACAGACTTTAAACCAACAAAGATCAAAAGTGACAAAGAAGGGCCTTACATAATGGTAAAGGGATCAATTCAAGAAGAAAAGCTAATTACCCAAAATATATATACACCAAATACAGGAGCACCCAGACCAGTAAGTCTCTAAAAAGAAGTTCTTAGAGGCTTACAAAGAGACTTAGTCTCCCACACAAAAATAGTGGGACAATTTAACACCCCACTGTCAGTATTAGACATATCCCTGAGACAGAAAATTAACAAGGATATTCAGGACTTGAACTCTGCTCTGGATCAAGTGGACATAATAAATATCTATAGAACTCTCCACCCCCAAACAATGGAATATACATTGTTCTCAGTGCCACATGGCACTCACTCTAAAATCGGCCACATAATTGGAAGTAAAACACTCCTTAGCAAACGCAAAAGAACTGAAATCAAAACAAACACTCTCTTAGACCACAGTGCCATCAAATTAGAACTCAGGATTAAGAAACTCACTCAAAACGACACAACTACATGGAAATTGAGCAACCTGCTCCTGAATGACTCCTGGGTGAATAATGAAATTAAGGCAGAAATCAAGAAGTTCTTCAAAACCAATGAGAACAAAGAGACAACATACCAGAATCTCTGGGACACAGCTAAAGAGGTATTAAGAGGGAAATTTATAGCACTAAATGCCTACATCAGAAAGTTAGAAAGATCTCAAATTGACACCCTAATATCACAATTAAAAGAACAGGAGAAGCAAGAGCAAATAAATCAAAAAGCTAGCAGAAGGTAAGAAATAACTAAGATCAGGGCAAAACTGAAGGAGATACAGACCAAAAATTCCTTCAAACAAATCAATAAATCCAGGAACTGGTATTTTGGAAAAAATTAATAAAATAGATAGACCACTAGATAGACTAATAGAGCTGAAAAGAGAGAAGAATCAAATAGACACCATAAAAAATTACAAAATGGATATCTCCACTGACCCCACAGAAATACAAACTACCATCAGAGAACACAATAAACACCTCTATGCAAATAAACCAGAAAATCTGGAAGAAATTGATAAGTTCCTGGACACATACACCCACTGAAGACTAAACAAGGAAGAGGTCAAATCCCTGAATAGACCAATAACAAGTTCTAAAATTTAGGCAGTAATAAATAACCTAACAAACAAAAAGCCCAGGACCAGACAGATTGACAGCCTAATTCTACCAGAGGTACAAAGAGAAGCTGATACCATTCCTTCTGAAACTGTTCCAAACAATTGAAAATGAGGGACTCCTCCCTAACTCATTTTATGAGGCCAGCATCATCCTGATACCAAAACCTAGCAGAGAGACAACAAAAAAAGAAAATTTCAGGCTAATGTCCCTGATGAACATCGACGTAAAAAAACTCAACAAAATACCAGCAAACTGAATTCAGCAGCACAACAAAAAACAAATCCACCATGATCAAGTTGGCTTCATCCCTGGGATGCAAGGCTGGTTCAACATACGGAAATCAGTAAATGTAATCCATCACAGAACCAATGACAAAAACCACATGATTATCTCAAAAGATGCAGAAAAGGCCTTTGATAACATTCAACACCCTTCATGTTAAAAACTCTCAATAAACTAGGTATTGATGGAATATATCTCAAAATAATAAGAGCTATTTATCACAAATGCACAGTCAATATCATACTTAATGAGCAAAAGCTGAAAGCATTCCTTTGAAAACTGGCACAAGAAAAGATGCCCTCTCTCACCATTTCTATTCAACATAGTATTGGAAGTCCTGGCCAAGGCAATCAGGTAAGAGAAAGAAATCAAGCATATTCCAATAGGAAGAGAGGAAGTCAAGTTGTCTCTGTTTGCAGATGACATGATCCTACATTTAGAAAACCCCACCATCTCAGCCCAAAAACTCCTTAAGCTGATAAGCAACTTCAGCAAAGTCTCAGGACACAAAATTAATGTGAAAAAATCACAAACATTCCTTTACACCAACAATAGGCAAGCAGAGAGCCAAATCATGAATGAACTCCCATTCACAATTGCCAAAAAGTGAATAAAATATCTAAAAATACAATAACAAGGGACATGAAGGACCTCTTCAAGGAGAACTACACACCACTGCTCAAGGAAATAACAGGTGACAAAAACAAATGGAAAAACATTCCATCCTCGTGGATAGGAAGAATCAATATTGTGAAAACGGCCATACTGCCCAAAGTAATGTATAGATTCAATGCTATTCCCATCAATCTACCATTGATATTCTTCAGAGAATTAGAAAAAAAAACTACTTTAAAATTCATATGGAACCCAAAAAAAGCCTACATAGCCAAGACAATCCTAAGCAGAAAGAACAAGCCTGGAGGTATCAGGCTATCTGACTTTAAACTATACTACAAGGCTACAGTAACCAAAACAGCATGGCACTAGTACCAGAACAGACAGACTGGTACCAAAATAGACAAATGGAACAGGATAGAGACATCAGAAATAAGACCAAACATCTACAACCATCTGATTATCAACAAACCTGACAAAAACAAGCAATGGGGAAATAATTCCCTATTTAATAAATGGTGCTGGGAAAACTGGCCAGCCATATGCAGAAAACTGAAACTGGACCCCTTCCTTACACCATATACAAAAATTAACTCAGGATGGATTAAAGACTTTAAAAGTAAAACCCAAAACCATAAAAAATCTAGAAGAAAACCTAGGCAATACCATTCAGGACATAGGCATGGGCAAATATTTTATGTTGAATTCACCAAAAGAAATTGCAACAAAAGCTAAAATTGACAAATGGAGTCTAACTAAAGAGCTTCTGCACAGCAAAAGAAACTATCATCAGAGTGAACAGGCAACCTACAGAATGGGAGAAAATTTTTGCAGTCTACATATCTGACAAAGGTCTAATATCCAGAACTTACAAGGAACTTAAACAAATTCACAAGAAAAAAAACAACCCCATCTAAAAGTGGGCAAAGAATATGAACAGACACTTCTCAAAAGAAGACACTTATGCAGCCAACAAACATATGAAAAAAAAGCTCAACATCACTGAACAGTAGAGAAATGCAAATCAAAACCACAATGAGATACCATCTCATGCCAGTCAGAATGCTGATTATTAAAAAGTCAAGAAACAACAGATACTGGTAAGGCTGTGAAGAAATTGGAACCCTTTTACATTGTGGGAATGTAAATTAGTCCAACCATTGTGGAAGGCAGTGTGGCAATTCCTCAAGGATCTAGAACCAGAAACACCATTTGACCCAGCAATTCCATTACTGGGTACATAGCCAAAGGAATATAAATCATTCTACTATAAAGATACGTGCACATGTATGTTTATTGCAGCACTATTCACAACAGCAAAGACATGGAACCAACCCAAATGTTCACCAATAATAGACTGGATAAAGAAAATCTGGTACATACACACCATGGAATACTATGCAGCCATAAAAAGGAATGACATCATGTTCTTTGCAAGGACATGGATGAAGCTGGAAGCCATTATCCTTAGCACACTAACACAGGAACAGAAAACCAAACATTGCATGTTCTCTCTCATAAGTGGGAGTGGAACAATGAGAACACACAGACACAGGGAGGGGAACAACACACACCAGGGCCTGTTGGTGGCGGGGTTAGGGTGGGGAGGGAGAGCATCAAGGAAAATAGCTAAAGCACGCAGGGCTTGAAACCTAGGTGATGGGTTGATAGGTGCAGCAAACCACCATGGCATACATATAGCTATGTAGCAAACCTGCACAATCTGCACATGTATCCTGGAAGTTAAAGTAAACAAATTAAAACATTTAAAAAAATTTAAATTTGAGAATGGAGTACACAAATAAACCAAAATGAACCAAGGATCCAGAAAGTTATGTGCGCTTGGACAGCCACTTTCACCCCTGACAGAGAAATGAGAGGAGGAATTTTCCAGAGATAAGATCAAGGCATATAGAACATTGACTAATCTTTAATGAATGTTCTCAGCAGTATGTAGACTGCTATAATTGATGAGAATCACTTGGAGCTTTAGCTACAGTCAGTCCATAGCCACTTGCCAAGTCCTTCCCTAGTTATTCCCCATGATGGGGTATACTTAAGCCTGAGGCCAGGAAAAGATAGCTGAGAGACATCCTCTCTGAGGTGCCTGGGACCTTTTCCAAGGACAAAGCAGCTATGCCCTGAAAGGTGGGTGTGGGGAGAGAGCAATGAGATAAATTCATAAAGATGATACTTGACTTTTGTCAACTGCACTGTAGAATACCAAAGGCTGGGGACTGGGCTGGAGAACAGAGAGAAATCCCACTGAGAAATTCTGACCCTTCACCAAGTACATAGCACCAGGCCTCTGAAGTCTAAGGGCAGGTGGCAGGACAGAAAGAGATCTCCCAAATAATAGGACTAGAACTCCCTAATGCCAGAAAGCTGGAAGCTGGATGTAAATATAAAGGACATCAGCAGACTCTTGCCAGTGATTGGATGCCAAGCCTTGGTAAAAGGAAGCATATTAAGTCAGCTCTTCAAAGTGTTTTAAGTCAGCAATGATCTGAATTTAATTAAAACTGCACAAATGCCTAGATGGAAGTCAAATAAGGATTAGGCTGATTTAACCCACATCACTGACAAAAGAAGAGTCACCTTTTTCTGGAGATAAATATTATTTACATTAATGTATTACATACAGTGTCATGAAAAAACAAATAAAGGCACAAAGAAACAAATAAGCAGTGTTACCTTTGGTGAAGAGAGGAAATAATCAATGGAAACAGAACTAGAATTTGCTCTGATGCTGGAACTATCAGACAGGAACTTCAAAATAACTAGGGGGAGTATGCCCAGAAGAAAAGGTAAACAACTTACACGCACAAATGAGGAATCTTAACAAAGAGGAAGACACTATAAAAATGGAAAATCTAGAAATGAAAAATACAATGTCAGGATTTTTTCTATGAAATTAACAGCAGACAGATGCAACAGAAGAATAAGGAAAATTGAAGATCATTGTCAATAGAAATTATCCAAAGTGTAAACCAAAGGGACAAGGAGAAGAAGAAAAAGAATGGAACACCTGAAATCTGTTGAACAATAGCAAATGGTATAATACATGTATAATTGCTGTCCCAGAAGGAGAGAAAATAGAATATGAACCTGAAGAATTATTTTGACAAGATTATGACTGAGGTTTTTCTCCAAACTGATAAACCATATCAACTCATAGTCTGAGAAGACTCAACAAACTCCAAGCAGCATAAATGCAAGGTAAAGTATAACTGGTTTCATAATAATCAAACTGCTGAAAATCAAATATAAAAGAAAACAATCTTGGAACTAAAAAAAAATTCTATGATTACACAGAATTAATATTGTAGCTGACCTCTCACCGGAAACAGTGAGTACCACGTATGATTGGTTGACATCTTTAAAGTGCTGAAAGAAAGGAAACAAGAACTGTCAAACTGAAGTTCTGTATCAAGTGAAAATATTCTTCAAAAATCAAGGCAAACGAAAGATATTTTCAGACCATTACATGGTGAGCAAATTCATCCTTAGCAGGCCTGCATTATATTTAATGCTATGAATTATTCTTCAGAATATTTATTCATTATATGTAATGCTAAGAAATATGAGTAAAAATATATTTTATATTTACATGTATTTTTACCCTATCTGGTCCCCTTTTTGGTTTCTGCCAAATGTTACCAATTCCTGATTGTTTTTCTTTTACAAATAGATGTATAAATTTATTTTTAAATGTTTTAAAAAGAATGTTGACTTATTAAAGCAATATACATCTAGCATATAGAAGTAAAATATATGACACTAAGAAGACAGAGTTATGCTGTTGTACTTTTTTACCTTGTTAATGAAGTAATATGATATTTGAAGGTATGCTGCAGTAAATTAAAGATGCATATTGCAACATACGGAGATATGGTTATAATACCAGTGAATGTGATAAAATGGCCTACTAAAAAATACTTGGTTTACCCAAGAGAAGACAGAGAAAAATTAAAAGGATACAAAAAACAAAGGACAAATAAAGAATACAAATGAAGATGATAGACAAACTCAAACATATTGATAAATATATTTACTTAAAATGCATATTTTTAGTAGAGGCGGGGTTTCACCATGTTGGCCAGGATGATCTGGCTCTCTTGATCTCGTGATCTGCCCGCCTCGGCCTCCCAAAGTGCTGGGATTACAGACGTGAGCAAAAATACAAAAATTAGCTAGGTGCGGTGGTGTGTGCCTGTAGTCCCAGCTACTTGGGAGGCTGAGGCAGGAGAATCGCTTGAACCCAGGAGGCAGAGGTTGCAGTGAACCAAGATCGCACCATTGCACTCCAGCCTAGAGACAGAGCAAGACTCCATCAAAAAAAAAAAAAAAAAAAGCATAATCACTCCACATAAAAGGCAGAGATTGTTAAACTGGGTAAGGCAGAAAAAATCAATTATATGTTGTTTACAATAAACAGTTTAAATATTAACAAAAATGGTAAAAATAAAAACTTGGAAAAATATACTATGCAGACACTAAGCACAGGGAAGATGTTGTGGCTTCATTAATATCAGAATATATTTCTAGAGAATGATTATCATTAGAACTAAAGACATTTCAAAATGACAAATGTGAATTCATCGAAAAGACTTAACAATGTATAAAAACAAAGCTTTTGGGCCGGGAGCAGTGGCTCACGGCTGTAATCCCAGCACTTTGAGAGGCCAAGGTGGGCAGATCACCAGGTCAGGAAATCGAGACCATCTGGCTCACACGGTGAAACGCTGTCTCTACTAAAAATACAAAAAAATTATCTGGGCACGGTGGCAGGTGCCTGTAGTCCCAGCTACTCAGGAGGCTGAGGCAGGAGAATGGCATGAACCCAGGAGGCTGAGCTTGAAGTGAGCGAAGATCGCGCCACTGCACTCCAGCCTGGGCGATAGAGCTAGAAAAAAAAAAAAAAAAAAAAAAGCTTTCAAGTACATGAAGCAAAACTTGAAACTTGAATACTAAAGGAAGAAATAGACAAAATCTACACTTAGTGGATATTTTAAGAACCTTTTCTTTAATATGAAAAGTAGATAAAATTATCAGTTTCATTATAGAAGACTTGAACAACACTATCAACTAAGTTAGCCTGATTGATATTTGTAGAACATTTTACCCAACAGCTATAGATACACACCTTTTTTTTACAAGCATACATAGAATATTCACCAAGAAGGACAGTATGCTGGGAGAATGTCTCAATAAATTCCAAAGGACCAAAATAATACAAAATAGGGTTTCTGACCACAATAATATTAATTAAAAATTACAAACAATAAGATATCAAGAACATCACAAAATATGTGAAAATAAAAACACCTTTTTAAATAGCCCATGGTCAAAATGCAGAACTGGATCAATCTGGCAAACTTTCAGATGCTGCTAGGAAACAAGGTTGTCAGTCTACAGCTATATATTTGATAACCTTTCATTTAATAGCACAAGGAAATGATTGGTCTTTCTAATGTGATGTAAAAGTGTTCTTTTAGGTTTCATGATCACTGATAGTTCATTGAATACTTCTTGGAGCCTTGATCAACTCTGCTACTCATTTCTGTGCTATATCTGGAGAATCCTTTTATAATTTCTCTGCAATTCCCCATCTTATTTTTTATCCTTAGTAAAACAGTGTACTATACTAGTGCAGGAGTCAGAGGGGGCAAATATATTTAGTTTCTCCAGGAATCAAGAATGCAAATGTTATCATTCTAATTACAGAAAAGTTACAGGAAATGTTAGACTCTGGGAATTAATGTTATTAATGTAGTCAAATCATGCTCACAGTCATAATTTAGGTAATGGAGTGTTGGCGTAGTTAAAAAAAAATAAGTTCTCTAGTATTAACCAAACATCTTATAATCAAGCAAGACAAACAAATGCAAAGATTGGGATGTTATGCAAATAATACAGTATAAAAGCCTATGATGCATTGTTCAATAAATAAGTGCAGCTCCATGAAACTCATGTGCATAAAATTATTTTATTTGACCTCCTTAAGAATATTCGATGGAAACTGGTAAAGCACACAAAAATCAAGAGTTAACATCTGATTGTAATACTTTATATCTACTGAATAATATCAGATCACAATATTTTCTCTTAAATTACTAGTAAGTATTGGGCTTATGTTTGCATACGTGATTTAATTTTCTCCCTTATTTAGAAGATTGTTCTTCAGATTGTTCTTCAGATTGTTTCTATAATCAAAATAACCTTATTGTTCCATTTTTAAAAAATAATTCGTGGAAATTACTCAAAATATCATATATAGAAATGTCTAAACAGAAGAAATATATGGAGGAGAAACTGAAGTTCCTCCTTAAGTCACCCTACAGACCATCACTGTTTAACAGTCAGTAGTATCCCCTCAGATTTGTTTATATACACAGACAAAATTGGAGATATATGTACGTGTGGATGTTTGTGTATAAAACATTTATTATGTGTGCATATAATTATAAGTGACTATACAGAGAAATATACAGATTGTGCGTAATCTGATTTATTCACATCATTAATACAGTGAAGTTATATTTTATAATATATTATAGATAATAAACTCGTGCTTATAATAGCTGTATGTTGGCCATCTTTTTCAACATTTGACATTAATTAACTCATTTTATCTTTACAATAACTAGTGTGTTAGATACAATCATTATCCTCATGCACATGTGAGAAAAATCAAGTGTAAAGAGGTAAATTGTCCAAGGTGTAGAGGCAGAAGGTGATGACCCCTTTTCTCCTTATCTTAAGGGTCATAGATGATAGCCCTATCTAACAAAAGACAGGTTAACAAGATAAAAGCAAATTTATTTGATCATACTATTATGAGATATGGCAGGCTTCAGAATGAAGACCTAAAGATACAGGGTGATTGATCCATTTTTATGGTTAGGTTTGATAATGCATGGACAGCCATGTAGAAATATAAGTGGACAAAAAGGGTATGATCTAATGCTAATAGACTGAATGTGGAAACTCAGCAAGGCCTGTTCAGATTCCTCTCTGTTCAACATTCCTCTATCCTGGTTATAGGATATGATCCCTCTGGAATGAGGATCTTAAATTCTTTATGGCTAGTTACCCAGAAAGGTGGGGGAAGGTTAGAGTAATATATTTAGGCTTTATGGCTGGCTTGGGGGAAAAGAGGTTCCAGTTTCTATGATGCACCTTGGGGAAGAGGGATTCTCATCTCTATGGCTATCCTCAGAGGAGACTGAGGGGTGAGAGACAGGAGGACAGGAGAAGGTCATAGAGAAACTTTGCTTCTGAGGCCTTTACTTTAGGGTATTGTTTTCTGACCCCTCCGAGAAGGTTACCTCACTAAGAAGTAGAATAACAAAGGACCTCCTCCTCTTTATTAGGCACTTCGTAGCCCTAGTATAGATGTGTTGGCTGATTTCATGAGTCCCATATGGATGAACATTTAAACTACTTCTATTATAATCAATGCTGCAATAAACATTCTTGATTCTCTGGTATTTGGGAGCCTTATAGACCTGGGAAAGACTGCTCCTCTCAGGGCTAGCTAATTCTTAAACTTATTCACGAGCATGTCTTTCATATACAAACCAACCAATGGGGAGTCTACAGCCTCATCCATCTCCTTATCTAACTCTCACACACCAAGCCCATATTTCCTCCGCGCTATATCCTTTTAGTGCCAGGTATCAGGCAACTAGAGAGCAGGACTATCACTCAAAGCCTGACAGAATCATTCAAACTAGCTAATCTTATGCAAACCTGCCTTATCTTTCCACAGAAATCCCAATAAAGGCTCTGTCCTATGCCTTCTCCTCACTCATCTTCTGCCTCCTCCCCATCCTGATGTCCATCAGATGGCCCTATGTAATATGCCTGGTGTCCCCCATTTTTTCAGGAAATATGAGTGATAAATTCTTTTTTAAAAAATGATATTAGCCTCTCTTTTTGTTGTCACTCAGTCACCTCCCTAAATTAAAATTCTGCCATACAAATGGAGACAATTTCTCTATTACATACCCTTACCAACAGTCTTTGCAAAGACACACACACACACACACACACACACACATAAACTGTTTCTTGTATTTATAGTGTTATTATGGATTTTTTCACACAGCTTATTTGTTATTTGTTTTCGCTTTTCACAGGAGTATTTGATTCTGATTTTATCTCTGCTCCAGGGGTCTATCATTCCATGTTGTGGTTAAAGTTGGGTAACCATGCTTCTAGGTTAGTCAGTACTCTCTAAAGGAGAGCACATGTTCCCTATAATTCATTTATAGTTAAAATAAAAGTGCTTGGGAGCTGGCCTTTGTGAGAGGAACACCTGCCTGGAATGAGAGGAAAATAGACTCATAAGCCCCCACGAGTGTTGTGTCTGCCTGTTTTGTAATGCAAAGTTTGTTAATAAGAGCCAGCTGTCTCTTACAGAGCCAGGGTATTCCTGCTCAGAAAATGTTCACTAAAGGCCCTCTCAAAATGACAACCAACTGGGCAAGTATCCTCAAGCTGTTTTTAAATTAGAGAAAAGAAGGAGAAATGGGGTTAAAGATACATTTTATAAAGCTCCTGCTGAAAAACTTCAGGAAGCTTTCCAATAAATTTAAGGTGGCACTCAATAAAGGAAAAACTTAATTCAATGTAAAAATTGCTTTCAAGAGCTCATGCAAAGGCTAAGCAGTTTTTATGACCCTTACTGTCACTCATTTTCCCTTCATTTGGGCCATTTCATCAATGCAACTTCTAATCTGGTAATGATGCAGATCTC
Source organism: Homo sapiens (assembly GCF_000001405.40). Classification (NCBI taxonomy): domain Eukaryota; kingdom Metazoa; phylum Chordata; class Mammalia; order Primates; family Hominidae; genus Homo; species Homo sapiens. The sequence goes on from NC_000004.12 coordinate 97,350,045, forward strand.
TTTACTAGCTTAAAATATATATCAATAATCCATGTTTTTAGTCTCATGGAAAAGAATTTAAAGATGATGATTATTCCTTGATCTAAAAATGAATGCTTGAAATGACTTTTTCAAAATGAAGTGTTAACTCTTAACCAGTGCTTTTTTTAAAGCACTTTAGAAAAAGAATAGCGTGCATTTTATCTGGAAAGATTTAAGAGGCCACTAAGAACTTTTACTATTCATAGAAGAAAAATTGTGAAAGACAAATTAATAGAGTTGTTTAATGTATGGGTTGTAATTTGGAATGTCCTGAAAACCAGGACCTAGTTGAAAGAGGTGCTTCAAAAGGATTTCATGCATTAAACCATGTCAACTCAAGCAGCATTTTACTCATTTGGAAGTCACAAATTTTGAACAATCTAAAGCAGTAATTTCCAACCTACGGGAATCTTGCAGAATTATTTAGATGTACTGAGTTTTTGCACAAAGTTAAATAAGATCCAAATGCAAAGCAAAGTGTGGTATGACAGAGTCATTTTCTTACATTTTAAGAATTCTTCCAAATCAGAAAGAAAAAAATAAAACGATAATCAAAGTAAAAAATAGTGGGCAACAACTAAAAATAGGGATGAGGTTTTGTAAAATACCTGCAGGCAGAACATAAAATTTTTAAATGTTTATTTTCTGTGGGGAGACCAAACGGCATAGGGTTGAGAACGCCAGGTCAGGAGGGGAAAAGACCTACAGCAAAGTACTTAAGGCACTCTAAATCTCAGTGTCTTTTTTCATAAAAGAAAAACAATAATAGTTCTTACCTTACAGTGTTCCGTGAAAACTACAAAATGAATGCATTGGTGGCTGGCATATGGCAAGATTTCAAAAAATGCTAGCTAGTATAGAAATGAACATTAAAATAACAATGAGATAGCTTTATTTATGATGTAAAGATTTAAATGATATGATTTACTGTTTGCATGATTTTGAGCAATAAACATACCTCATGATATGTGGAACTCCAACTTGAATCATATTGCCAAACTGGAAGGAAACTTGGTGTGTTAGGTTCTCCAGAGAAGCAGAAACAATATGATACATATAGATATAGATATAGGGAGATTTATTATGAGAATTGGTTTACGCAGTTATGGAAGCCAGGAAGTCCCACAATATCTCATCTGCTAGCTAGAGAAACAGGAAAGCCAATGGTGTAATTCACTACAAGTCTGGAGGCCTGAGAACCAAGGAAGTCAATAGTGTAACTCCTAGTACAAGTCCAAAGGCTTGAGAACCAAGAGCTCTGATGTCAGAAGGCAGGAGAAAACTGATGTTCCAGCTCTAGAAGAGAAAGTAAATTTGCCCTTTCTCCATCTTTCTGTTGTAGTTGAGCCCTCAACAGATTGAATAATGCCTACCCATGTGATTAATGGTGATCTTCATTTTGTCTACTTATTTAAAACCTAATTTCTTCTGAAAACACTCTCACAGACCCATCCACAAATCATGTTTTACCAGCTATCTGGGCATCCCTTAACCTGGTCAAGTTGGCATGTAAAATCAACTCCCACACTTGAAAATATGAATCAACCATGCAAGTAATTACACATGTAGTCTCCATAATAAACAAATTTTTAAAGATGAAAAGCATATACACAAGGTTATTAGCTAATTTGTTTCTATCATTAGCTAAAAATTTTCTATTATTAGCAAAAAATTAAAATGTTCTAATATTAGCAAAAATTAATCCTAAGCATATAAAATTCAGTGCTATAATTCATTGTACATGCATATAATGGACTATAACACACTCATTGCCAATAATAGGGTAGATTGATTTAATTACATGAAAAGACTTCATACGTTGTTAAATTTTTAAAAAGATTTAAAGTGATCCTTACACAATGACACCATTTTATAAGAAGTTTTAAAACATATGCATTATTTAAAGTATAGAAAAATATATGTAAAGAATTTTATCAGTTGTTACTTCTAGATAGCGAAATTTTAGTTGGTTTATTATTTTATTACTTCCTTTAATTGTTCAATAATAAATGTATTTTATTTACTTTTTGAACACTATATAAGTACTCCAAATTGAAGACAAGTATATATTTCTTAATTATAATAATGACACACTTTACCATTTAAAGTGGTACATGTTAATGCCTGTCTACCTGGATCATACACTCCCTTGACAATAATAGGTAAATTACCAGGTAAATTAAATCTTACCTAATTACTTATTTCTTTATCCTATATTCTATTCTCTTCATTGTTGGTAAGGTGAGCTACTGTAAAGATGGAGAAAAATGTTTTGAAATCTGAGGTCCTCTCCTAGGTCTACCTTCTCCTTTGAGAAAAATTATTCTGAATATTCCTTGTTTTTTGAAAAACTGTTGCAAAACACATCATCCAGCTCCAAAGAGTAACATTTATCTTGCTTATTTTGCTAAGGTTTCCTATCTCATTTTTTACTCAAGAAGCACAGCAATCAATGCTAGGTCACTATTCCCTTTATTGATCCAAGAAATATTTATGTAATGTCAACTGTGTGCTAAGCATACATCTGGAATTGAAGCCTAAATGTAAATATGGCTAAATATGTCAACTGCTATCTAAAACTAAGTGTTATTAACGATTGAAAGAATCTGATAATGAAAGAAATGCTAATTGCATTACTTTTCTCCTCAATCACTACAGGAGAATAACATGCAATAAACAACTGAAAAATAATAATAAAAATATTGTAATCAAAGGACTATATATCTCTGAACTCATGTAAGGGTATTTTTTCTTTTATTTTCTCCTTTATTTTCAACTGATAAAATTTGGGCTATCAGATTTTATTTGAATATTATTTTAAAAGATTACAATGACAGCATTCCCGTTACTCATATACAGTAGAGAGAAATAGGAAAAGTAAGATGGAACTATCCTAATACAGCCATGTGCCTCGTAAAGATGTTTTGGTCAATGACAAACCATATATATGAGGCTGGGCCCATAAAATTATAATGGACCTAAAAAATTCTTATCACATGGAGGCATCATAGCTGTCATAATATTGTAGCTCAATTACTTATTTTTAAATAAACCTAGTGTATCCTAAGTGTACAGTGTTCATAAAGTCTACAGTAGTGTACAGTAATGTCCTAGCCTTTCACTTTCACTAACCACTTACTCACTGAGTCACCCTGAACAACTTTCAGTCCTGCAAGGTCCATTCATGCTAAGTACCCAATAAAAGGATACCATTTTTGAACATTTTATACTGTATTTTTACTGTGCCTTTTCTATGTTTAAATATTTTAGGAACACAAATACTTGCTGTAGGCAATTGTAATTGCCTGCAATATTCAGTACAGTAACATGCTATCCAGATTTGTAGCCTAGGAGCAGTAGGCTATACCACATAGTTGAGGAGTATAGCAGGCTATATCATCTAGGTTTGTGTTAGTACACTCACACAAACATGAAATCACCCAACAACACATTTCTCAGAACTTATTCCAGTCATTAAGCAATACATGACTGTACTTACTTGTTGAATCCTAGATAAAATATTTTACATATATCAGAATTTATTTCAAAAGATGTTATGTGTAACTTTAATATAGGTTGAGTATCCCTAATCCAAAGATGTGAAATCTGAAATGCCCCCAAATCCAAAATTTTATGAGTTCTTACAAGATGCTCTAAGAAAATGCTCATTGGAGCATTTCAGATTTGGGGTTTTCAGAACAGAGATGCTCAACTGGTAATGTAAATATCCAAAATCTGAAAAAATCCAAAATCTGAAACACTCTGGTCCCAAGCATTTCAGATAAGGTACACTCAACATGTAATACAAGAGAATACCATCCTATTTAATTATGACCGTCTGAGCTACAATGTGTGAATTCAGAAACACTGTGAATTTTCTTAGCTAATTTGTTGCTTTCTTTATAAAATGCAGATTATGAAGAGAAATGAACAACCCACTAGAGACTCAATTCAAGTTCATTGAATCAATTCACTTAATTTCAACAAATGTTTATTGAACACCCACTGAGTGTCAAATCTTGGCACTGGAGTAATTCATTCATGAGGGGCCTGGATGGTTATCAATTAATAGTACTTGCAATGTTTTCATTGCTGTATGTGTATTGGGCAGGGTTCTGAGATACTTGACATATTAAATACTATTAATTCTTAGAGGAATGACATAGAAAGTTAAATAAATATTATTTCTCTGTACTCATGACTATCACTTCTTCTGTAATAACCTATTTGTTAGAAAATTGTGCATTGAAAACAAATGAAAAATTCATAGCTGATAACAAATGCAAATAGAAATCAAGTTTGCAAATTATTTTGAGACTTTACAAAAATCCTGACAAATCAACATCTGTTCCCAGAAAGTTACTGAGACATGCTAAAAAAATAAAGAAAAATGAATTTATACATAAAATCATAAGGCTAAATGAGATTTCAAGATAAGTGTCTTTTTTTTTTTTTTTGGCTTCTCAGGAAAAAGAGTACCAAATTCTTCATCCCAAAAAATGGATTTTTTTTTTTTTCCAAATAGAGACAAGGTCTCACTGTGTTGCCCAAACTGGTCTTGAATTCCTCTGCTCAAGTGATCCTCCCGTCGCTGCCTCCCAAAGTGCAGGGATAAGCCACCATGTCTGAACCAAAATGGCTATTTTATTCATGTAAATCTCCAAAAGAAATTTTTAAAATTGTGTTAGGAGATTAATTTGTTCACAAAAGTAATATTTATTGAATTCCATGGAAACCCATTTAATGTCACTTAATATGGACAAAACCTAATGAGATTACCATTTAGCTGAAAATTTTCATTTTTTTAATACTGAATTTTCTTTTAACTTCTCAGATTATTCTAAAATATTACACACCCCCAGGCCTCTTTTTAGTATTATCTTAAATCTACTGTAAAAATTCTCACATAGTTATTTTAATATGTACAATGTCTAAACACCTATAATTTAACCAGAGTATAACCTTAGTGGATAAACTTTTATGGTAGATAAAGCACAAAAAACAAAAATTCAAGATTTTTATTTTATATCCAGTTTTTCTTGCCACCGGTGGTTTATCTGAACTCTAGTCATTGGTGAAGAAAACTACTTACACAGGATGCTCGATGGTTCAGGCTTGGGACAAGAAATTGTACTCCTGTTAAGTGAGGTACCCATGGGTGGTAAAAAAGTAGAAAAGGAGACTGGGCACGGTAGCTCACGCCTGTAATCCCAGCACTTTGGGAGGCCGAGGTGGGCGGATCACAAGAGATCGAAATCACCCTGGCAAACATGGTGAAACCCCATCCCTACTAAAAATGCAAAAATTAGCTGAGTGTGGTGGCATGCACCTTTAGTCCCAGCTACTCGGAAGACTGAGGCAGGAGAATCACTTGAACCATGGAGTTGGAGGCTGCAGTGAGCCGAGATTGCACCACTGCACTCCAGCCTGGCGACAGAGTGAGACACCATAAAAAAAAAAAAAAAAAAAAGCTAGAAAAGGAACCTCAATAGGGAGTTTTCAGAGTCAGCCCTGAATAGTTCCGCTTGGTCATTTGCTTTCTGCATGGCAATGTGGCTTAGAAAACAGGTCTACTCTCAGGAATGGGCATGTGGCAGATACAAATCCACACCCCAAAAGTTGTGTGTGTCTGTGTGTTTGGCCATTAGGAACTTTTGATGATACATTGCCCTCCAGTACTCTAGATCAAACCCTGATAACTCAAAGTCCCTCTTCCTTCCCACCTGACACTCACTTCCAAAGTCCCAGAGAAAGGAATTTGCCTCAAGCAGGCTGAGCTTGGCTGCACTTCCAGAAGTGACCGAATGAAATTACATTTACTCCAGAAGAAAAGGATGTGTGCACTTTAGGGGGACAATTCACAATTAAATATTGGGCCTCTGTATTAATCCGTTTTCACATTGCTGATAAAGACATACCTAAGACTAGGAAGAAAAAAAGGTTTAATTGGACTTACAGTTCCACATGGCTGGACACATCTCAGAATCATGGTAGGAGGTGAAAGGCACTTCTTTATGTGGTGGCAGCAAGAGAAAATGAGGAAGATGCAAAAGCAGAAACCCCTAACAAAACCATCAGATCTCATGAGACTTATTCACTACCATGAGAATAGTATGGGGGAAACCACTCCCATGATTCAAATTATCTCCCACTGGGTGCCTCCCACAACACGTGGGAATTATGGGAGTATAATTCAAGATGAGATTTGGGTGGGGACACAGCCAAACCATATCATTCCACCCCTGGCCCCTCTGAATCTCATGTCCTCACATTTCAAAACCAATCATGCCTTCACAACAGTCCCCCAAAGTCTTAACTCATTTCAGCATTAACTCAAAAGTCCACAGTCCAAAGTCTCATCTGAGACAAAGCAAGTCCCTTCCACCTATAAGCCCATAAAATCAAAAGCAAGTTAGTTACTTCCTAGATACACTGGATACAGGCATTGTATAAATACAGCCATTCCAAATGGGAGAGGTTGGCCAAAACTAAGGGGCTACTGGCCCCATGCAAGTCTAAGATCCAGCAGGGCAGTCATATCTTAAAGCTCCAAAATGTTCTTTTTTGATGCCATGTATGACATCTGGGTTATGCCAATGCAAGAGGTGGGTTCCAATGGTCCTGGACAGCTCCACTCCTGTGGCTTTGCAGGGTACAGCCTCCCTCCTCGCTGCTTTCATAGGCTGGCATTGAATGTCTGTGGCTTTTCTAGGTACACAGTGCAAGCTGTCAGTGAATCTACCATTCTGGGGTCTGGAGGACAGAGGACAGTGGCCCTCTTCTCACAGCTCCACTAGGTGGTGTCCCAGTAGGGACTCTGTGTGGGGGCTCCAACCCTATATTTCCCTTTGAGGTTCTCCATGAGAGCTCTGCCCCTGCAGCAAACTTCTGCCTGGGCATTCAGACATTTCCACAGATCTTCTGAAATCTAGATGGAGGTTCCCAAACCTCAATTCTTGACTTCCATGTACTCGCAGGCTCAACACCACATGGAACTCCCAAGGCTTGGGGCTTGCACCCTCTGAAGACACAACCTGTGCTCTATGTTGGCCTCTTTCAGCCACAGCTGGAGCAGCTGGGACACAGGGCACCAAGTCCCTAGACTGCACACAGCACAGGGACCCTGGGCCCTGCCCATGAAACCATTTTCTCTTGGGCCTCTTGGCCATGATGGGAGGGGCTGTCGTGAAGCCCTCTGACATGGCCTGGAGACATTTTCCCCATTGTCTTGGGGATTAACATTCTGCTCCTTGTTACTTATGCAAATTTCTGCAGCTATTGTTACTTTTGCAAATTACTGCAGCTGTCTTGAATTTCTCCTCAGAAAATAGGCTTTTCTTTTCTATCACATTGTCAGGCTGCAAATTTTCCAAGCTTTTATGCTCTGTTTCCCTTTTACAACTGAATGCTTTTAACAGCACCCAAGTCACCTCTTGAATGCTTTGCTGCTTAGAAATCTCTTCTGCCATATACCCTAAATCATCTCTCTCAAGTTCAAAGTTCCATGAATCTCTAGGGCAGGGGCAAAATGCCACCAGTCTTTTTGCTAAAGCATAACAAGAGTCACCTTTGCTCCATTTCCCAACAAGCTTCTCATTTCCATCCGAGACCACCTCAGCCTAGACCTTATTGTTCATATCACTATCAGCAATTTTGTCAAAGCCATTCAACAAGTCTCTAGAAAGTTCCAAACCTTCCCACATTTTCCTGTCTTCTTTTGAGCCCTCCAAATTCTTCCAACCTCTGCTTGTTACCAGTTCCAAAGTTGCTTCCACATTTTCAGGTATCTTTTCAGCAACACCCTACTCTACTGGTACCAATTTACTGTATTAGTCTGTTTTCACATTGCTGATAAAGGCATACCTGAGACTCGCGGGGGAAAAAAAGAGGTGTAATTGGACTTACAGTTCCTTATAGCTGGGGAGGCCTCAGAACCACAGCGGGAGGCAAAAGGCATGTCTTACATGGTGGCAGCAAGAGAAAATAAGGAAGAAGCGAAAGCAGAAACACCTGAGAAACCCATCAGAACTTGTGAGACTTATTCACTACCACCAGAACAGTATAGGGGAAAAAACCCCCACGATTCAAATTATGTCCCACCACATCCCTCCACAACATGTGGGAATTATGGGAGTATAAATCAAAATGAGATTTGGGTGGGAACACAGAACCAAGCCATATCAGCCTCTCTGCATACATTTTCAAAAAATGATTAGGGAAAAATGTGATAGGGACTAGATTTATTATCACATAAATGTTTCTGCCTCCTTGCCTACCTTCCTCTCCTCCTTTCCCCCAGGGAAAGATATAAGGTCTTGAATACACATGACAATCATATGTATTATGAGTTATGATAGTAATATGTATTATGGTAATTTTTACTAGGTTATTAAAATGTGTACTGTCTCTTTCTATACATTAGAGAGTAAAGAGAAATATTTAATTGGGAATAAATATTTAATTGGGAGTTTTATATAGATATATATAACTCCCAATTAAATATCAATATAATATATGTTACAATCAGGTTCCAAATGATATTTTAGCACTGTCAGCCTAAAAATAAGTAATAAAAAGCATGCTCATATTACCATCCCCTCCCATCCCCAAAATAATCAAACTAAAGGATGCAAAACATTCAAGAAACAAAAGACAGCACACCAAAGTCAAACAGGGAGTATAATCCATCCATGGACTTCTTGTCACTATACACTCACTCTTGAGGTAGTCCAATACAGTTCAGTGGATTAAATACCATTTTTAAGTTCATGTCTTCCAGCCTTCTATATCTAGTCTAGATCATTCCCTTGAATTCCAGACATATATCTAACCAGCTCTTTATTCTCTTCACTCAGATATGTAGTACACATCTCAAACCTTTCATGTCCAAAACTGGGCTCCCGAGAGAGTTTCTCCTAGATCTGTTCCTCTCACAGTTTATTAGTTCTATTTTCCCCAAGGGCTCAGCCAAAATCCTGAGAGTCACCTTTTTTTTTTCTTTTTGTTTCTTTCATATTCATATCTCATCTGTTACTAAATCCTGTTGGCTTTACTCTTAAAATATGTCCAGAATCTGACCTCTTGCCTCTCCCTCCATTGTTATCACCTACCTTTTACCTGAAACATGGTCTCCCAGTTTCTGTCCTTACTCTCTTCTTATTCTCTTCCCCAAAAAGACACATGAATGATCTTGTTCAAACCTAAATCAAGTACCTCATCACTGTTCAAAACTCTGCACTGATTTCCCACCTCACTCAGATTAAAAGCCAAAGCCCTCACAAGGCCCCCAAGTCTCTTTGTGATTTGCCCTCTCCCATCACCTCTAGGGCTTCATCTCCTATTCACCTCATTCTAGCTCACTCTGCTCTAATGCATCACTCTCATTGCCATTACTGAAGCAGCATGATCTAGCTTGAGGGCATTTATACTGTGCCTTGGGGTTCTTTCTCCTCACAGCCACCTGGCTCCCCCTATTCCTCCTCTTGATCCCCCCTCAAGTGTCCCCTTCTCATTGAGACCTCCCTGGATACCCTAACCAAAATTGCAACCCCCATTCCATACTGAAATTTCCTAATCCCCCTCTCTGCTTTAATTTCCTCCCTAGCACTTATTTAGTTATTTTATTATCCAGCATCCCACTTCCACCCATATATGCTTCATGAAGGCAGGTATTTTTGTCTGTTTTATTCTAATAGAGATGGCCTGCACATAGTGCCTAGCTAATACAGGTGGGCAGCACATAGTTGATACACAACAAATATTTCTTAAATTAATGAACGCATTACCCATAGAATGATGGTAGTAACCTGGGAAGATATCTGAGTCAAAAAGGAAATAAAGAAAGGAAGAAAAAAATACTTATTTAAGAACATCTGGGGAGTATAGCTACAATTTGCCCATCAAATGGATTAACAGATAGTGAAAATAAACCACTATCGGTCTATTTTTGTTGTTTCACTTTCTCTACCTACCAGTCTCACTGTAAAAATATCTTCAGAAACCTCCTTGTTTTGTATTGGTGAGTTTCTGGCAATCTTGTCACAACCAAACTGCTTTCACAGCCCCCTTCTCCCAGCTAATATATGAATTAGAAAGGGAATACTTTAACAGTATCTGGACATGCAGGCTACATTTTTCAATGTCCAGATTTATGTAATAGAGATTTAAATTGCTGAAGAGAATAAATACAATCATTGGAGCCATTTACATTTGCATTACTTTAATTGAGTTGGAAATATGTTTGGAAAAGAGATTGTATATTTAGTGTTGATGTATCTACCAGTTTCAGTAACTGGCTAAGGATAGGGACAAATAATTAGAAAATGAGAAAACACATGTTACACTTAGTTTTTATTTCAACAAGATAACTGGATAGAATTTTTTGACCATGTTTTATAAAAATCATCTGTTAGATGCAGTAAGCTCAAGCAAACATAAATGTAACCTTCCATTTCTATCTCTGAGGTCCAAGTGACAATGATTCAGAAGTGCCATATTCAGAATATAATTCATAGATAATTATGTTCCATATTTGTAAGGAATCTAGTACATAAATCCTTAAATGGAGCAGTTTAACCAACTTTAAAAGAATGAACAGCTGAATTGAATTGTAATGATATAATGTAGAATCATAAAAATTGAAAGAGTATAGTCACCTTGTAAATTTTCTCCATTTCATATTTATGTTCTCTCCTCTATTTATTGTGTCATATATCAAATGATTCTGCTTCCTCAGAAACCCATTTTTATAAAACTAGCACTATGTTACAGCTATGGTAAATGTGGAGTAGGAAGTTAAGGATACATGACCTCATATGTGTTCCAGATGGCCTTGTATGATTTCTTCAATCTTTCTGAAATGCAAATAAGCCCTATGGAGCTCATTCAAATGGTGACATTTAAATATTCACTAACCTAAGATTTTCTTGGGTGAAGAAGTCTGGACAAATATGTACATTTGGAAAGCAATGGAGTCTTAGTTATTTCATAGGGCTGCTTATAGAAGTCATGGCTAATCCTATGAGTTACCAAATAAAATAAATCATGTTGTAGCTTGAACAAATCCCTCATTCTGAGTGTCAAATTAAGGTGGCTAATATATCCATGGGTCTTAGAAATATCCATGATTACTGTTGATAAAACTAGATTATTTAAATTGCCACTGAATTGCCCCTGACAATTACTTTGTCATGATCAGAGAAAAAGCTGACTGCATTTCATAAGGTGATGTCTAAGCTATTACACAATGTGATACATGAAGCATTTGCCATTACCTTGCTAAGAAGACATTTATTTCATAAGGTTCTGATTTATAATTTTTAAGATATTCCTCTGTTTGTTGCTAATAACTACTTTGTCTACTTGGAGTAGCATCACAGGATGTTCCTATTTATCTCTCTATCACATATTTTTAGCTTTCCTGAATCTCATCCATGCATATTATTTTATTAAAAAATAAAAATATCATTAGCATATTTCACAGAAACATTCAATGCTATCCTTCCTTATTATTTATAAGAATACAGATATGTAAAATATTTACAATTTATAAAGCAGTTGTATTTACAAAGCAGTTATATGACATAAAATTCTTAAAGTCAAACCAAATCTTTTCAGGACATCAATTTTACTCAAAAGTGAATATAAAACAATTTTTTTATTATTATACTTTAAGTTCTGGGGTACATGTGCAGAATGTATAGGGTTGTTACATAGATACACATGTGCTATGGTGGACTGCTGCATCCATCAACCCATCATCTACATTAGGTATTTCTCCTAATGCTATCCCTCGCCTAGCCCCCCACCCCCTGACAGACCCTGGTGTGTGATGTTCCTCTCCCTGTGTCCATGTGTTCTCATTGTTCATCTCCCACTTCTGAGTGAGAACATGCAGTGTTTGGTTTTCTGTTCTTGTGTTAGTCTGCTGAGAGTGATGGTTTCCAGCTTCATCCATGTCCCCACAAAGGACATGAACTCATCCTTTTTTATGGATGCATAGTATTCCATGGTGTATATGTACCACATTTTCTTTATCCAGTCTATCATTGATGGGCATTTGGTTGGTTCCAAGTCTTTGCTATTGTGAACAGTGCCACAATAAACATACATGTGTATGTGTCTTTATAGTAGAATGATTTATAATCCTTTGGGTATATACCCAGTAATTGGATTGCTGGGTCAAATGGTATTTCTGGTTCTAGATCCTTGAGGAATCACCACACTGTCTTCCACAATGGTTGAACTAATTTACACTCCCACCAACAGTGTAAAAGCATTCCTATTTCTCCACATCCTTTCCAGAATCTGTTGTTTCCTGACTTTCTATTGATCACCATTCTAACTGGCGTGAGTGATATCTCATTGTGGTTTTGATTTGCATTTCTCTAAAGACCAATGATGATGAGCTTTTTTTCATATATTTGCTGGCTTCATAAATGTCTTTTGAGAAGTGTCTGTTCATATCCTTCACACAGTTTTTGGTGGGCTTGTTTTTTTATTTTCTTGTAAATTTAAGCTTTTGTAGATTCTGGATATTAGCCCTTTGTCAGATGGATAGATTGCAAAAATTTTCTCTCATTCTGTAGGATGCCTGGTCACTCCGATTGTGGGTGTTCAATCAGGCTGATGGGAAAAATATAAAAGATAGTTATAGTAATAGCCACAAACCTTGGAAGGCCAAGAAGTTTGCATAGCTTTAGTAAGGGTTATGGCTGAAGGCAACCTGATCCTTAACTTAAGTAAATAGCTTAAAATTAGTACAAAGGAAGGCAGAATAGTTTACCTAACTAGCTTGTTTACTCATGTGGTCCTAAGACTAACCTTTGATCTACTGCGGGTGTTTAATTACTTTCTACTCAGGAGGTCCGCAATGTCAATTACACTCTAGTGATGTTTACTCATGACTTTTGTCAATTAATCTTTACTAAATAAATGCAAGTCTCACTGACTGAGAGACTTGCCATGGCCATGGCTGCTACTAATTGGCCGGATCACTCAGCTGGACTGGCAAAGCAGAATATCTACATGTCATTGTACATTATTCATCCATCATTGGGCCAGGGTCTGCAGGACGAACCCCTGCATCTGACGAAAGATTATTTTGTTGTGCAGAAGCTCTTTCATTTAATTATATCTCAATTGTCTATTTTGGCTTTTGTTGCCATTGCTTTTGGTGTTTTAGTCATGAAGTCTTTGCCCATGCCTATGTCCTGAATGGTATTGCCTAGGTTGTCTTCTAGGGCTTCTATGGTTTTAGGTCTTATGCTTAAGTCTTTAATCCATCTTGAGGTAATTTTTTATAAGGTGTGAGGAAGGGATCCAGTTTCAGCTTTCTACATATGGCTATCCAGTTTTCTCAACACCATTTATTAAATAGGGAATCCTTTCCCCATTGCTTGTTTTTGTCAGGTTTGTCAAAGATCAGATGGTTGTAGATGTATGGCATTATTTCTGAGACCTCTGTTCTGTTCCAGTGCTCTCTATATATGTTTTGGTACCAGTATCATGCTGTTTTGGTTACTGTAGCCTTGTAGTATAGTTTGAAGTCAGGTAGCGTGATGCCTCCAGGTTTGTTCTTTTTGCTTAGAATTATCTTGGCCATAAGGGGTTTTTTTTTTTGGTCCATATGAACTTTAAAGTAGTTGTTTCCAATTCTGTGAAGAAAGTCAATGGTAGCTTGATGGAGATAGCATTGAATCTATAGATTACTTTGGGGAGTATAGCCATTTTCACAATACTGATTCTTCCTATCCATGAGCATGGAATGTTTTTGCATTTGTTTGTGTCCTCTCTTATTTCCTTCAGCAGTAGTTTGTAGTTCTCCTTGAAGAGGTCCTTCACATCTCTTGTAAGTTGTACTGCTAGCTATTTTATTCTCTTAGTAGCAATTGTGAATGGGAGTTCACTAATGATTTGGCTCTCTGTTCGTCTGTTATTGGTGTATAGGAATGCTTGTGATTTTTGCATATTGATTTTGTATCCTGAGACTTTGCTGAAGTTGCTTATCAGCTTAAGGAGGTTTGGGGCTGAGATGATATGGTTTTCTAAATATACAATCATGTTATCTGTAAACAGAGACAATTGGACTTTCTCTCTTCCTATTTCAATAAACTTTATTTCTTTCTCTTGCCTGATTGCCCTGGCCTGAACTTCCAATACTATGTTGAATAGGAGTGGTGAGAGAGGGCATCCTTGTCTTGTGCCAGTTTTCAAAGGGAATGTTTCCAGCTTTTGCCCTTTCAGTATGATATTGGCTGTGGGTTTGTCATAAATAGCTCTTACAATTTTGAGATATGGTCCATCAATGCCTATTTATTGAAAGTTTTTAGCATGAAGGGCTGTTGAATTTTGTTGAAGGCCTTTTCTGCATCTATTGAGATAATCATGTGGTTTTTGTCTTTGGTTCTGTTTATGTGATGGATTATGTTTATTGATTTGCATATGTTGAACCAGCCTTGCATCCCAGGGATGAAGCCAACTTGATCATGGTGCATAAGCTTTTTGATGTGCTGCTGGATTTGGTTTGCCAGTATTTTATTGAGGATTTTCGCATCGATGTTCATCAGGGATATTGGCCAGAAATTTTCTTTTTTTATTGTGTCTCTGCCAGGTTTTGGTATCAGGATTAAAAAAAATTTTATTAAAGGTAGTGCAATGTATTAAGGAGTAGAATTTTTAAAGTTATATGCATTTTTCATAGAAAAATTAATAAACTAAATAAATTTTGTGGTTTGTGTGGCTAACTCAGATTTAGCCACAGACTCTCGGTATTATATATTTACATCCATAAGGCCTCAAGACATACTTAGGTAGAAATTGAGACACACAGAATACCTTATTTTGTTTTTATTATTCTAAACGTTCTAACAACTGTGTATGGTAGTCAGGGCAGAAATTTAGCAATCTCATTTTTACAGGGGAGGAATCTGAAGCTAAAAAGAATTAAATTATTGCCATAAAATAATAAAATGTTAAGTGGTAGACCCTGTCCCACATCTTTTAACAAGTCTAAATCTCCTTTCTGAATTTTATTTGTCTTAATAATAGTTGTGATGGACAAAGAATTAGAAAGGAAAAGTAGTTAAGGCATAGACAAGAATGGACTTAAATCATTAAATCGGGACTCCATGTTCTTCTCCAATTCTAATATATACTTTTTCTGGTTTATATACATTCATTTTAATAAATTTTATCACTAGGGAACTTTCAATATAGCTCAATTGCCAAAAGTATCTGGCATGAATCACTCACAGGTACTATCTATCTATCTATCTATCTATCTATCTATCTATCTATCTATCTACCTATCTATCTATCATCTACCTACCTACCTATCTAGCTATTTATTTGGCTACCATGAGTGAAGTGCAAGAATCAAAAGCTAAAGGAAATATTCCATGATCACAATAATGACTACAATAAAATTATTCTCTGCAAGACAGCAGTGGCCTGGTGTGATCTGTATTGGATGCTGCAATATGAAAGTAATGCAGTATATTAGCCAAAGGATCTCAGCAGCATATGCAGCTGTTAATTGACAAAAATAAATTCAGCTGGTACATGAACTCATACCATGAACCATATTTTATATTTCAACAATTTATGTGAAACTGAATGCAGCCCACACGGCATAACATAACACTCTCCATTGCCACTTTGTTTGTATCCTAAGTACTTGGATGGTTTTATGCCTCTTGCAGGCAAACTCGTTACTTAAACGGGGGCCAATAAATAAACCCCTCAAAATTATTGAGATGTTCGGTTATTTTTGTATATCTACTAAACAGTCAATCCAGTTCAACTCAAATTGAGAGAATTATTTTAAATTTGAGTATAAATTTGGTATTTTTTAAAATAAAAATTTGTAAAATTCAAATGTTCAAAAACTAGTGTTAATGGAATAATAATGACTTAAAATGAAATGTATAGTCAGAAAAATCTCTCCATAGAGCATGTATTTCATCTGTTAGGCAGACTGGGTTATGCTACAGACATTGTTTCAAATAGATACTGTTTTTTCCTAGTATACACATTTTGACTCTTGCCTGAGAATCAGAAGGAAGTTTTTATAAAAACAAAAAAAGTATAAATAACATTTTTTTCTCAAATTTTGTCTCACTTTACTAAATATGTTAACTTGTATTCTATCATTTAGTTCTCACAGAAAAACTAGTAAATAGGCATTTTTGTCTGCATTTTCCATAAAAGTAAGTTCAGGTTTACAGCGGTTGAACAACTAGCCCAAAATCACACATTAGAATTGGTATTTGATCCCAGGTATATGCAAATATTCCAATATAAGTGCTGTTAACCAATATTTACCATATTTGTCTCTCAATGAGTATAGGAAACTTTTAAAAAGAAACAAAGGTCTGTTTTTTTTAATTTTCTAAGCATAGACAATCATGAAATTTGACTAGCAGACAGACTCTAAGGTGACTCCGGCCTCACAGTAAAATACCCGCCTGCTGATATTCACACTCCTGCCTAATCCCTCCCCTTGAGTGTAGGTGGCACCTGTGTGACTTGTGCCTAATAGTATATGAAAAAGTGATAGGATGCCACTCCTATGATTACATCACATTATATAAATCTTGCTAGTCGACTGCTTTAGAGCTTCTCCTTGCTGGTTCAATGAAGTAAGCAACTATGTTGAAAAAGTCCACATGGCAAAGAACTGCTGGTGGCCTGTAAGACCTGAGGGCAGCCTCCAGCTGAAAACTGACAGGCAGAAAAAAGTCAGGGTCCTCAGTCCACAGCTACAGTGAAATGAATTCTGCAACCACCTGATTGAGCTTGAAATCTGATGCTTTCCCAGCTAAGCCTCCAGATGAAAATGCAGCTCGGTTGAAACCCTGCAAAAATGAGCAGAGAACCCAGCCAAGTTGTGACTGGAGACTCCTGACTTACGGACAATAAGAGGTAAGAAATGTGTGTTGTTTTATCCACTAAGTTTATAGAAACTTGTTATGGAGTAGAATAAAACTAATATTCTGGATGTGAAACCGGATTGTCAGCAATATTTCAGAAAGTAAAAAAAAATCTTTATTTCATTTCACTTGCATCTGAATCATATCTGTGTGAATTCTCCTCTCTTGAAATGTATACTCTAGACCTCTGGGATTACCTTAGCTGTCTTGACCTTGAGACTTGGAGCAAATCCCAAAACGAATAGTGTTCAGAGTGTCATCTTGTAAAGTGTACAGATAGAAGTTTTCCTTTCTTCAAGTTAAAGTATTTTTTATTCTGCAAGTGAGAAATCATCTCCTGAGTCATTATTATTCAACATCAAATATGCAATATTTGAATTGAGATTTTGCTAACTTGCCAGGAAAAAAAAATAACAATGTTCTTTTATTTTTCTTGTTGTCCCTTGATTTTTTTGAGTGCCCTTTATAAAAAGTCAAGATATACTCAGGGAAAAGGTACTGAATTTCAGAGACTTTGGGGTCATGTTGCTTAATTTCAGAAACTATTAAATGTCAGAGAGCCACCTGAAAGGAAGGTGAATATGTTTGGTAATGGAATTCTTTTGGTTGCTATTGCATTTTGAATAATGTTTGGGAGAAATTTAGCCAGATGCATTGACAAGCACTGCAGTGTTTCCAGATATTGTCTGTATAGTTTTTATCACTGCCATAACAAATATCACAAACTTAGTACCTTATAACAACATAAAATTATTGCCCAGTTCTAAAGGTTAAAAATCAGTAGGTTTGGCTGGTTTCTTTGCTCTGGGTCCCACAAGGCCAAAATCAACGTGCCATCAGGGCTTTATTTGTTCTGGAGGTTCTTGGGGAGAATCCATTTCCCTGATCACTTAGAATCCAATCTTTTGACAGAGTTCAGTTCCATGGAGTTGTGCTACTGAGGTACTGAGGCTCTCTCCTGTTACTTTGCTGGATGTTGAATGAAGGTCATTCTGTTTCTAGAGGCTGACTACATTCCTTGGCTCATTGCCACCTTCCTCCATCTTCAAAGCAAGCAACAATGACTCAAGCCCTTCTCACATTTCAAATTTCTCTGCCTCATCTATCTCCTCCCTTTCTCTTCTGCTGGATCTCTGACTGTAGGCAGAGAAATTTCTCTGTTTTTAAGGGTTCATGTGGTTAGATTGAGCAAACCTGGATAACCCAGGATAACCTCCCCATCTCAAGTACTATAACCTTAATTATGTCTGCAAAATCCCTTTTGCCATATAACCATAATACATTCACAGGTTCTGGGAATCAGGAAGTAGGCATTTTAGGGAGTCAGCATTCTGTCTACCATGTTACTCTTTAGATAAAGTTATAATTTAGTAACAGACAGTTGTATAGAGCCACAAACATTTTTAAGTTAGGGGCGATTAATTGGATCAGCCTAGAATAGGGCACACAATCTTGATTACACATAATGTAAAAAGTACAAAGCAGAAAAGCAAATAATTTCTTATAGCACGTTCTCTCTTTCCTGTACAAAGACCCATCTGAAAGTTTCTCTATAGTTACAAAAATTTATAAAGCTTTGACCTTATGCTTTTAATAGCTAGTTGTCTAACAATGACACATTCTTGTATTTTTCTCCCTTTACCCTGAATGTTTAATTCACTGACATTTAAAAAATCACAGTAATACAAAATTTAAATTTTTAATCATTTTAAGTGTACCATTCAGAGGTATAAAATATATGCACAATGTTGTTTGACCATCACCACTATCTATTTCTATAACATTTTTTGTTATCTGAAATAGAAACTATACCCATTGAGCAAAAACTCCCATTTCCCCTCCCCAACCCCACCTTTAGTAACTTCTATTCTACTTTCTGTCCCTAAAAATTTTCGTGTTCTACATACCTCATGTAAGTTGAAATACGTAATAGTTTTCCTTTTAGGTCTGGATTATTTCAGTTAGCATGATGTTTCAAAGTCCATCCATGTTGTAGAATGTATCCGAACCTCATTCCTTTTGATTGTTGAATAACATTCCATTATGTGTATATCAAATTTTGTTTATTCATTCATCTGTAGATGGACACTGGGATTGCTCCCACTTTTGGCTATTGTGAATAATGTTGTTATAAACATGGGCACACAAATAACTCTTTGAGATCCTGCTTTCAAGTCTTTCAGGTATATACTCGAAAGTAGAATTGCTGGGTCATGTGGCAAATTATATTTTTAATACTTTGAGGAGCTGTTTTCCACCGTGGTTACATTATTCAACATTCTTACCAACAATACACAAGGCTTCCAATTTCTCCACATTCTTCCCGATACTTAAATACTTATTTTCTGCTGAGTTTTTTTGTTTTAGTTTTTTTTTTTTTTTTAATAGTAGGTGTCCTACTCGGTGTGAAGTGGTAGCTCATCATAGTTTTGATTTGCATTTACCTAATGATTAGGATGATTAGTTCTGTGGTCTGAATGTCTGTGTCCTCCCAGCCCCCAAATTCATATGTTTAAACTTAATCACTAATGTAGCATTATTGAGAGGTGGGCCTTTGGGAGGTGATTAGGTCATGAGGCATCTACTGTCATGAATGGGATTAGTCCTCTTATAACAGAGGCCTGAGGAAGCTTGTTCACCCCTTCTGTCATATGAGGACACATAGAAAAGATCATCTATGAAGCTGAGAGACCTCATTATATGCTGAATATGGTGGTGTGTTGATCTTGGACTTTGCAGCCTCTAGAACTGTGAGCCATAAATTTCTGTTGTTTATAAATTACCCAGTCTAAGGTATTTTGTTATAGCAGCCTGAATGCACTGAGACAATGAATGATTTTGAATATCTTTTTAATGGTTTGTTGGTCATTTGCATGTCTTCTTTAAAGAAATGTCTATTCACATCCTTTCCTCATTTTAATTGGGTTGATTTGTTTTTGTTTTGGAAGGGTATGAGTCATTTATTCTCAATATTAAACCAATATTAGATATATGATTTGCAAAATTTTTCTATCATTCTATGGGTTGTCTTTTTACTCTCTTGATAATAATCTTTGATGCACAAAAATTTTTAAATAAGTTCAATTAATCTACTTTTGTTGTTGTTGCCTGTACTTTTGGTATTATATCTGAAAACTCATTACCAAATCCAGGGACATGAAGATTATCCCTCTAAGTTTTTGTCTGAAAAGTTTATGGTTTTAGCTATTAAATTCAAGTCTTTGATCAATTTTGAGTTCTCATTGATTCTTAAGCTTATAGTTTATGCTTTCATTTTTCAAGCTTTTGATTCAGACAAAAAATATATTGCTCACATTATTATTATTATGTTAATGGTTTGGCAGCAGAAAGGAATTCCTCCTTTTTTAAAAAAGTGGAAGTCTAATAAATGAATAGTATGGTATTGGGTTTTATCTATTTTAATAAAGGTAGTGGAGAATGAAGGTTATAGATATTTTATAAACTATGGCCATCCAACTTTTTCTCATTTCATTTCAAAATTCACACACAGAAATCCAAAGAGCTAAATGTTTTTCTGCTCTGTAAGAAAGTTGTTAAATTTGTGTATTTATCATTGTGTAATGAAGAATTAGTCTGGCATCCCCATTTCCTGGGAGGTAACATTTTAACTCTTGGAATTTCTTGAGTGATATGGGTATCTTTGTTATCCATGATGGACCCCAGTCACAATTGATGTGTATGCTAATGAGGTGACTCAGGGCAGGCCCTCAGATCGCTTATGCTAATGAGATTACTCAGGATGGAGACTAGTTATGTCAGAAAAACCACCCACGTAATTAGAGGATTTTGGGCTTTGAGCCAAGTGACATCAACCCCTCCTCTGGGGAAGGCTTTGAGATTGAGTTTATCCACATGGCCAACGTTTCAACAATCATGTGTACCCAGTGAAATGTCAACAAAACTTCTGGACACTGAAGCTTGTGTGAACTACCTTGGTTGTCAGTATTCTTTGAGCATTGTTGTACTTTGATACTGAGAGAGTAAGACATTCCTTTGGACAATGGAGACTTTGTAAATGGAACTCTTGCAAACTCTGTTCTACGCATCTCTTCTTTTTTCTTGTTATCGTTTGTATCCTGTTGCTATAATAACATTGTAATGATATAAGAAGCATTTTCAGTAAGTTCTGTAAGTCTTTTCCATAAATTGTTGAACTTAAGGGTGGTCATGGGAAACCCTGAGGTAGCTGGTCAGAACTGAGAGTGGCTCTAGAATCCCCAAACTTGGAGCTGATAATTGAAGTGAGGGCAGTCTTGTAGAGAACTGTGCCTGATATAGTTTGGCTGTGTCCCCACCCAAATCTCATTTTGAATTGTAATTCCCACAATGCCCATGTGTCATTGGAGGAACCTGGTGGGAGGCAATTGAATCATGGAGGCAGGTCTTTCCCATGCTGTTCTGGTGATAGTGAATAAGTCTCATGAGATCTGATGGTTTTAAAAATGGGAGATTCCCTGCACAAGCTCTCTCTCTCTCTTTACCTGCTGCCACCCATGTAAGATGTGACTTTCTCCTCCTTGCCTTCCAGCATGATTGTGAGGCCTCTCCAGCCATGTGGAGCTATAAGTCCCTTAAACCACTGTCTTTTGTAAAGTGCCCAGTCTCAGGTATGTCTTCATCAGCAGTGTGAGAACAGACTAATACAGAGCTTTTACCCTCCAGTTTTGACAAATTCCAGTGCCTATTCAAATACTGTGTGACAAAGGAGATAACTGGTTATCTACATGCTAGAATTGCCCTAGTACTTCCACTCTCCCACCACAAGCAACTTAAATTCTACCATTAGAATAATACAATGAAAAACCACATATCTCCGGAGAAGTCTTTTAAAATTCAAATGCACCTGTGATTGGTAATGTATCAAATGTTTTTAATCACCCATACCTAATGCTATTTATTCTATTAGATTAGTAAAAGCAACCTACAATCACATTGTGAAAGAATAGGAGTTTCAAGAAAAGATAGTAACCTGAGACAATTTTCCAAGTTAGGGTTTCATGAGGAGCCCTGGTGGGCATTATGTACTCTGGAGATGTAGGTGGAAGAATGAGATTGTAAAGAGTGGGGGAAAATGCTGTAAGAGTAGAGTGGTAGTGTCCCCAAAGCAAATCACCAGCTTTATCATTTTTCTTCGGGCTAGCAATACATTTTGAAAGAAAAATCTCCAGTCTCAAAATTCCCATAAGATGAAATGCATATTTGTTTGTTTGTTTGTTTTTGTAAAAAAGCCCTCTTATGTTTATTCTCCTTAAAACAGATAACATGAAAATAGCATGGCAGTCCCAAGCCATAAACCAACAGTAAAACACAATGACCTTTATTTGTTGCTATAGATACTTGCTGAATTATAGACAAATGAACCGAATAACTGTGAAGCAGACTCATGTGGTCCACTAAAGGGAGTTCTGAGTTGTGAAACTCATGAATTAAATATTCATTGAGCAGTACCCATATTTCACCCTTGTACTATATTTTATAGGGTATTCAAAGGAAAAATTAGGATCACACTATTTTCAGGAATCTTATAATTATGTTAGAATTATATATAATTACATTTATAATTTATAATTAATTCTAATAAAGATGGTGAAAAAAGATGAACAAGTACAGAAACATCTTAAAATCACTAGTTCTTTCTGGATAGGTGTTTCAGGAAAGCTTTTTACATAAGGTTATTTCTGAGAAAGAAACATAGCAATGTTATAGGAATATCATGACAGGATGCATATTTTGGAGAGACAGAATAAAGTATGGTATATTTGAAGAAAAGAAGTAGTAGATGCACAGATTAAAAGACAAAGTCGGACAACTATAGAAAATAGCAGGGCAGTGTATTAGTCTTTTCTCATGCTGCTAATAAAGATGTACCTGAGACTGGGTAATTTATAAAGAAAAGAGGTTTAACGGACTCACAGTTCCACATGGTGGGGGAGGCCTCACAATCATGGTGAAAGATGAAGGAAGAGCAAAGGGACATCTTACATCGTGGCAAGGAAACTGTCATTTATAAAACCATCAGATCTTATAAGACTTATTCACTACCATGAGAACAGTATGGGAGAAACTACCCCCATGATTCAATTATCTCCACCTGGCCCTGCTCTTGAGACATGGAGATTATTACAATTCAAGGTGAGATTTGGGTGGGGACATAGCCAAATCATATCAGGCAGTATCTGGCCATAAGTCAAGAGTTAAACCCATTGACCTTTATAAAGCTATAGAAAAGTTCAATAAAGGAAGCCAAGTAAAGGGTTAACAGGAACAATAATTGTTAAAAATAGAAAAAGACTGGCTTTAATGTGGAAGACAATTAGATGGGAGTGGAATAGAGGCAAGGAAACAAGTTAGAAGTTTATTGCAATAATTTGCTAAATGATGAGTCCATAATTGATTTTATGGAAGCAGGCCAACGGCAGTGAAGAAAAGGGTAGAAATTGAAAATAATACAAGGATTTTATTTCTCAGTGATAAGGTGATGGTATCAACCATAAAACATGTGCACCCACACACACACCAAAAGGTGACTAAGTTGTTGTTGGAGGTGGTGGCTACAGATTGAAAGTTTTCTTTCCCTAAAAATGTATGTGTTGGAATCCTAGCCCTCAAGGTGATGGTATTAGGTGGTGGGACTTTTAGAAGGTGATTGGGTCATGACAGTGGAGTCCTCATGAATGGCATTAGTGCCATCATAAAAAGTGCCTGAGAAAGCTCCCTTCCTTCCGCAAGGACACAGTAAGAAGTCTCCATCTATGAACCAGGAAATGGGCCCTCACCAGACAGTAGATCTGACAGTGCCTTGTTCTTGGACAGCCCAGCCTCAAGAAGTGTGAGAAATAAAAGTCTGTTGTTTAAAAGCATCATAGCTTATATTTTGCTACAGCAGTCCAAATGGACATGTAAAAGTGGTCTTATAATTAGTTCAGTTTTATTATGTGGTATTTTAGGTATCTGGAAAATTCAAGTGTGCATCTTCATAAAGTAGATAGAGAGATAAGCATAAAACTCAGAAACAAGAAAAACTACATTGTGACTTATTTATTAATAGTTGAGGGTCAATATTATGTTGATTCTAGTTGAAGCCTAGGAGTAGATGAAATCACCCTGAGAAAATAGATTAGATAAATGGAAGATGAAGAAGAAAATCAATCCATAATCCTGAAAAACAGTAACTCCAAATGAGAAGGAATAGACAGACAATCCTGCAAAGAAGATTGACATAAAGAACAAGCTAAAAAGTAGAAGGAAAATAAGGAGAAAGTGGGGTATCAGGCAAAGGAAAAGCTTTTCCCAAAGTGGCAGCTAACAATGTCAATTACCACATGAAAGTCACATAAAAAACACTGAAAACTGTAAATTGCATTTAAGAATTAAAGGTTATGGGTAGCTTGTGTCATAGGGTTAAAGCTTGACCCCTATGACTTGAAGAAGAAGTAAATGGAGACAGCACAGTCCAGCTTGGCTGAAAAGACCAGAAGTTGTTGAAAAGCATACAGTGAGAGGCTTGAACCTGTGTGCAGATTACAGAAAAAGGCACTCTTGCATATGTGAAGGACAGAGTAATGGATACAGAAAACCACTAATGGAAAAGAGTTGAGATGGATTCAAGAGTTTAGGGGGAGGGTGAAGCCTCACAGTTAATGTGAATACATGATGTGCTGAATATGTGAAAGAAAGATTACTCTGGGCTGGAGGAATCTGAGAGAAATTCCTGGAGGTCTCGAGGCTTGTGCAGGAGCTTAAATGCAGACCAAAGTTAATGAGAAAGAAGGTGCAAGAGCATTCCAGGCAAACAATGCAAGGATGGTCACACAAATTACTCATCAATTTCAGAGAAGCTTCATGGTGTGAGGATATAAAAGTAAAATCTGAAACTTGAGAAATTTTTTTTTCCAGAATGTATCCCATAAATTAAACTACAAGAGTTTTGTAGCTAATCGAATGGACTGAGAGATATTGCCATGTTTTCCTTAATTTACTATTGTATCTTTATTTTATTATTGTATAAACAAGGGAAGATTATGTGCCACAAAATATAGTACTTAAACTCATTACATGGAACTAGGATACTTACATTTATTTCCTTTCCTTTTATTTTTAAATTGTAGGATAATTGTGTTTATTTTTAATTATCATAAAAGTGTACTCATATAATATAAACATTATTTTTTATTTTTATTTTTTCCTCTACGTTTTAAATTTTTTAGAGATAGAGTTTTGCTTTGCCCAGTTCTATTCTGGAACTCCTGGGCTCACGTGATATTCCTGCCTCAGCCTCTTGAGTAGCTGGACCTACAGGCTTGTGCCATCACTCCTGGCTATATAACAGTTATTTTTAATAAAGATAATACATAGAAAAAAGTCACTCATACTACTTCCATCCAAAGATAGAAACTACTATAGATAATAACCATATTTTTTTCAGTAAAAAACCTTCTAGTCTGCACTTTTTACATAACTGAGATGCTACAGATAGAGACATATAGAGAGAGAATTCTGCTTTAATTACATACATTTATAACCAGTTTTTCATGTGTTTTAAAAAGTCCCATAAAACCTTTTGAAGGACTGCAAAACATACTCTACTATATTTAGACATTTGTCTATTATTAACAATTCAGTTGTGTTCATTTCCATAATTCCAAGTAATACTTATGTGCATAAATTATTGTCTACATTGGATATCGTTACCTTACAATAAATTTACAGGTATTATATTATAGAATCAATGAATGGAACTGACATATCTTGACCATCAACTTCTTTATCAAAATTGTAAAATATTTGTTTTATATTTTTTAATGAATGACCAAGGAATCATCATTCCCATATATGCTTCCAACTTCTTTTTGAAGGCTATTTTTTTCTTGTTGGGGCTCTTTAATATTGTGATGTTACATGAAATTTGTGGGAAATTATTTTGTGAAAGTACTTGGTTTGTTCAGTTGAACTGAGGAACAGAAGTAAAATAGTTACAGTAAATACCTGAAACAGTGGTGCAAATCCACTGTGATGCATGGCAACTAAAATAAAATATGATTTATAATGGCATTTAGAACACAAGCACATTCTATCAAAGAGTGTATGTAGAAGAACGCTTGCTTGGAACCTGAGTCTGCCTGTGCCTCCCAAACTGAAAGTGAAAATTAATAGGGAACTTCTATTTATTCAATAGCTTAATGTAAATTTCATGACAAATGGTAGCATTCACTCCTAGATAGAGGAAGAAAGAAATAAATAAAAAGAGCGAGAGAAGGAGAAAAAGCAAAGAAAAGAAGAAAGAAAGAAAGAGAAAGAAAGAAAAGAAAGAAAGAAAAAGAGAACGAAAGAAAGAAAGAAAGAAAGAAAAGGAGAGAAAGAAAGCATGATAATTTTATGCATCAAATTGAGTAGGCTAAGTTGCCCAATTGTTTGGTCAAATATCAGTCTACATGTTGCTGTGAAGGTATTTTTTAGATGTGATTAACATTTAAATCAATAGACTGAGTAAAGCACATATAATGTTGTTGGGCTTTATTCAATAGTTAAAGGCCCTGTCTGAGTTCCTTTGAAATGCTATAACAAAACACCTGAGACTAGGTCGCTTATAAACAACAAAAATGTATTTCTTATAGTTCTGGAGGCTGGGAAGTTCAAAATCAAGATATTGGCAGGTTCTGTGTCTTATGAAGGCCCTCTTTTCCATAGATGGTGCCTTCTAGCTATGTCCTTACATGAGAAAAAGACTAGCTAGCTCTCTGGAGCTTCTTTTACAAGAGGACTAATTAGGCAGAGCCCTGGTGACCTACTCCCTCCCCAAAGTCTTCACTTTCTAACACTATCAAACTGAGAGTTAGATTTCAATGTATAAATTTGGAGGGGCACAAACATTCAGACCACAGCAGGCCTTAAGAGAAAAGACTGAGAGGTTCTCTAACAAAAAGGGCATTTTGTCTCCAGATTGCCTTTGGACTTAAGACTGCAGCATCAATTCTTGCTGAAATTTCCACCTGCCATACTGCCTTATAAATTTCAGACTTTTTAGCCCCCACAATTGTGAGAGCCAATTCTTAAATATAAATATCTCCCCGAGAGAAAGTGATCAAGATCCTACTGGATCTTTTTCTCTGGAGAATCCTGACTAATACAGGTAAATGGGTAAGTAGATAGATGGATGCATGCATAAATGTATGGATGGATGTGAATGAAGAGATGGATACATGGATAAAGAAATGCTCCTTCCAAGTGGTTTGAAATTGTATGCTGAAAGCACACTGGAAGAGTAGTCAAAAGATTAGGGTTTAAATCCTGGTTCTACCATTTACTAGCTGTGTGGGCCCCGAAAAATCTTTTAATGTCTCTAAGTTAGTTTCCTCATCTGTAAAATAGATCAATAGTATATTCTCTACCTATCTTGTAAGGATGTTATAAAGATTAATAATAAAAATAATACACATAATGACTGCTAATAGTTATTAGGTGTTAACTATAAGCCACATAGTAATCACTTTGCATACATGATGTCATTTACTCCTCACCAAACATCTTCAAGGTAGATAAAATTATTATCCTGATTTTATGGCACAAAATCTTATCTCAAATATTGTTTCCTCAGAGAGATCATTCTTGATCATCTTACCTAAAGTAGCACTCCCTCAGTGGAACTCAAATTCCCTCCCTGTTTAATATCTTGAATACTAATCACAATCAAAGATTACCTTGCTTAAATGACTTGTTTACAGTTTCACTATTAACATGGCAGACAGTAGGTGCTTGTGTAATACTTGATGAATGAATGAATACATGCATGAATGAATGCATGAATAATTGAATAAATAAGACTTGTTTTGGGGAGGTGTGAGTATGATAATTCAACATACGTAACCATTCGAAATTTAGAATTAAAATCTCTAGAGATGAACACGACTACAGTTTACACCACTACAAATGTGAAAGGACCTCAAAGACTCATCTCTACTCTTGCTGAAAATGCCTAAGTCACAAAGCCACTTCTCTGGCTCCCACTTCCACTCTTCTACAGAGCCAGAGGGCTGGGAAGCCAGGATAAAGCAGGAGGATGCACTCATGAATGGTACTTTCTCCCTGAGCAGTACTTACTTAAAAAATATATATTATTCAATGTATAATGTTGACTCTTGCCCTCCTATATAATAATTATCCTTTTAATGCATCCCAGTCCTTCAATAAAACAGTTCCTTTGACCTGTATATTTTGGTGTTGGTTTTATTTGAAGGACCTAGATGACAAAAAGGAGGAAGGATTTCATCTGCCTCCATTTCTCCAGTAGCTCTCTGGACAACATGCTGCACCCTACAGAAAGAGGGAGTTTCTAGAAGGTAAACAGTGTTGTCAGGAGTGGAAACCCAGTGATGTTGGGCACATGTGCAAATCAAAGGCTACCAAGAACTAGTACCTGAATTTCCTGATCACAGTCTAGGGTAAGCCACCCTCAAATGAATAAACAGGAGATTGGGGAGGAATATGAGAAGAGGGTATTTAAAGAAAAATTTTATTCATGGGGGAACTGTTACTGGACAGATCATGAATTGCCCAGGTTTACACTTCAATGGCAGAGAAAGGTCTAGCACTCTACTAATTCTTTCCACCATATGGTGTTTCACCTTTTTTCTTAACTGACAACAAGAATTACACAGCTTCTTCTCAATAAATACATTAGAATAATAAAGATAAGAAAATGATATTTCAGATTATGATGAATGAATACTTGCACTTGGCAAGGCATTCTCTTCCAAGAGGCCTAATTAAGTTATAATTTCAAAGGGTTCTTCAAGTGATTCTCTGATGGTGCCTTTACTATATTTTCACACATCACATCTTTTGCCCCCACCTGAAATGATGTTACACATGGTCCAGCGGCTGTTGTAACCAGGCATCAACTTTCACCTTTATTTAGGATTTCACTGAAATTCTGATTTAGTCAATCTTATCTTTAAATGCAAAGTCAAAATAAAAATACTACTTTCCCATTTCCAGGATTAATGTTTTTAGATCCAAGCTACAAAGGACCCTCTCCATTTGGCATCTTATGGGTTGAATTTTGAGATCCCATCCAGCAAAATTAAGCATGACCTGGTAGACTGGTGAGTCTCCTGCTTGAGAAGCTGCACTTGAAAGTTCTGAGGAGGATTGTTGAAATGACTCAGGCCCTCAACCCGGGTGAGACAAGCCAAACTCTGATTTGATATGACACAATATGACAAACCTCATGCTTACCCTTCAGCCTTAGTGGACAGTTTGTGAGCTGTTGATCTCAAAGGACTTATTTATCTTTTTTATGACAACTCAAGGTATTATTAGCTTTTCTTTCCTAAACACACTCTTATCCAGAATCACAGGTTCCTTCCTTTTTCTGGGATATGCTTTTGTGTTACTTTTGCATTCTTTCTATTGTCATTTTTTATTTCCTGGACCCTCATTCTTACTCATTCTTTTCTCAGTTTTTGAACAAAGAATCCACAAAAGGAAAACTATATTTTAATGCATAGTGGCATTGGCACCCTGTCATTTCACAAGAATGTAACAAATGCAGACTCCCCTACCAAGTACACATGGTTTTCCATAGGCCTTAATTATATATTTATTTTAATTGAAGAAAGTGATCTGCTGCAATAAACTTTGTCACAGTGTTACTGTGAAAACACTACCTGAGATGGTTAATACTGAGTGTCAATTTGATTGGATTGAAGGATACAAAGTATTGATCCTGGGTGTGTCTGTGAGGGTGTAGCCAACGGAGATTAACATTTCAGTCAGTGGACTGGGAAAGGCAGACCCACCCTCAATCTTGGTGGGCACAGTCTAATCAGCTGCCAGTGTAGCTAGAATATAAGCATGCAGAAAAATGTAAAAAGAGAGGCTGGCCTAACCTCCCAGCCTACATCTTTCTCCTGTGCTGGATGCTTCCTGCCGTCAAACATCAGACTCCAAGTTCTTCAATTTTGGAACTCAGACTGGCTCTCCTTGCTCCTCAGCATGCAGACAGCCTATTGTGGGACCTTGTGACTGGTGTGAGTTAATACTTAATAAACTTCCATATATATACACACACACATATGTATATTACATTAGTTCTGTCCCTCTATAGAACTCTGACTAATACAGATATTTTTACCAGGAGTGGTTCTAGAGGAACAGAATATTAAGGATTGAGTTCTTTCATTGGTTTGGGGGTTTCTGGAGTTAGCTGCTTATATGATTACACCCCAAAATGCTAAGGACCCTACTTCTAATAGTATGGAGAACACTGATAGTCCTTGTCATGAACTGTTTAGAGTTATGCAAAATAAGTGCACTGACAATCCTGATTCATCGCTCGCGAGAGGCAAGTTTAGTGACTCCATACATAATACCTTTGACCATATGTGGAGAACCAGGGAACATAATGAAGTTGGTTGGTTGCACCTAAGTTCAGTGGACAAAGTGATGACAGAAAATGATGAACTCAGGGATTCTATCTCCCAGCTTCAGAAGCAGTAGCAGATACTGAGCAAATCTGCTAAGATTGACCTGAGTGAGAGTCTCATCTCCTGTAGAGAAAGAGCTGAAATTGTGGAAAAACAGACACAAGCTCTTATCATGTGAGTGGCTGACATGCAATGAAAGGTGCAGGCACAGCCTCACTAGGTGTCTACTGTTAATGTGAGGGCATTGATTGGAAAAGAATGGAGACTCTGCCACTTGGAATGGGGATGGGTGTGGGGGGGCCTGATGAAGCTGGGGACACCGTAAACTCTGATGAACCTTTTTTGTCAGAAGAAACAGCTTCCCCATCCCTAGTAGTGGCAATATCCCCTCCATGACCCATGCTGCCATCAGCTTTCCACATTTGTCTGAGGAGATAAACCCTGCACTGCCTGAGGCAACAGTGATGGCCTCCCTTGAAGCAGTTGCCAGGCAAGATAATGTTGATTCTCCTCAGGAGCCACCTCCAACACCCCTGTTTGCTTCTAGACCTATAACTAGACTAAAGTCCCAGCGGGCCCATAGAGGTGAGGTTGAGAGTGTGACCCATGAGGAGCTGTGCTACACTCGGAAAGAACTTCTTGAGTTTCCCAATTTATATAAACAGAATCTGGAGAATAGGCATGGGAATGGATATTAAAGGTATGGGATTAGGTGGAAGGAACATAAAGTTGGATCAGGCTGAATTTATTGATTTGAGCCCACTAAGTAGGGACTCTGCATTTAATGTGGCAGCTCAGGGAATTTAAAAAGGTTCTAACAGTTTATTTGCTTGGTTAGCTGAAATATGGATTAAAAGATGGCCCACTGTGAGCGAGCTGGAAATGCCTGATCTCCCTTGGCTTAATGCAGAGGAAGGGATCCAAAGGCTTAGGGAGATTGGGATGGTGGAGTGGATTAGTCACTTTAGTCCTACTCATCCCAGCTGGGAGGCTCCAGAAGATACACCCTTGACCAATGCCTTGCAAAATAGATTTGTGAGGGCAGCACCTGCATCTTTGAAGAGCTCTGTGATTGCTGTTTTCTATATGTCAGATCTAACAGTGGGAACCACAGGCACTCAACTACAAAATTTAAACACAATGGGAATAATTAGATCCCAAGGTGGCAGGGGCCAAGTGGTGTCACTCAACTGTCAAAGGCAAGCTGGGCATAGCTACCATAATGGACAGCAAAGGCAAAGTGGCAATCAGAACAGTCTGACTCGTGTAGAGCTCTGGCATTGGTTAATTAATCACACTGTTCGTAAAGGTGAAATTGATAGGAAGCCTACTGCATTCCTACTTAATTTATATAAGCAGAAGATTTCTAGATCGATTGGACAAAAGACTACTTTGAATTATAAAAACAGAATCATAGCCTCAATCAATTTCCAGACTTGAGCCAGTTTACAGACCAAGAAACACTTGAATAAAGGGGAGGCCAGACCCCATTATATTACCAACAATTTAGACAGTGAATCATTCTCCCATTCTTCCCCAAGGAGACCTATGTCCTTTTGCCAGGGTAATTGTGGCTTGGGGAAAGGGAAATGATCAGACATTTCAGGGACTACTGGACACTGGCTCTGAGCTGATGCTAATTCTAGGGGACCCAAAAAGTCATTGTGGGCCTCCAGTTAAAGTAGGGGCTTATGGTAGTTGTGTAATTAATGGAGTTTTAGCTCGGGTTTGACTTACAGTGGGTCCAGTGGGTCCCCGGACTCATCCTGCTGTCATTTCCCCAGTACCAGAATGCATAATTGCCATAGACATACTTAGCAGCTGGCAGAACCCCCACACTGGCTCCCTGACTGGTAGGGTGAGGTCTATTATGGTGGAAAAGGCCAAATGGAAGCCATTAGAGCTGCCTCTACCTAGAAAAATAGTAAATCAAAAATAATATTACATCCCTGGAGGGACTGTGGAGATTAGTGCCAGCATCAAAGACTTGAAAGATGCAGGGGTGGTGATTCCCATCACATCCCCATTCAAGTCTCCCATTTGGCCTGTGCAGAAGACAGATGGATCTTGGAGAATGACAGTGGATTATCGTAAGCTTAACCAAGTGGTGACTCCAATTGCAGCTGCTTTACCATATGTGGTTTCATTGATTTGAGCAAATTAACACATCTCCTAGTACCTGGTATGCAGCCAATGACTTGGCATTTGCTCCATTCCTGTCCATAAGTTCCATAAGAAGCAACTGGGCTTCAGCTAGCAAGGCCAGCAACATGCCTTTACAGTTCTACCTCAGGGATATATCAACAGTCCGGCTTTTGTCATGATCTTATTAGAAGAGATCTTGATCACTTTTCACTTCCACAAGATATCGCACTGGTCCATTACCTTGATGACCTTATGCTGATTGGATCCAGGGAGTAAGCAGTAATAAACACACTGTACTTACTGGTGAGACATTTGTGTGCCAGTGGATGCGCAATACATCCGGCTGAAATTCAGGGACCTCTACCTCAGTAAAATTTCTAGGGATCCAGTGGTGTGAGGCCCATCGAGATATTCCTTCTAAGGTGAAGGATATGTTGCTGCATTTGGCCCCTCCTACAATCAAGAAAAAGGCACAACATGGATTTTGGAGGCACCACATTCCTCGTTTGGGTGTGTTACTCCATCCCATTTATCAAGTGGCTTAAAAGGCTGCCAATTTTGAGTGGGATCCAGAACAGGAGAAAGCTCTGCAACAGGTCCAGGCTGCTGTGTAAGCTGCTTTGCCACTTGGGCCATATGATCCAGCAGATCCAATGGTGCTTGAGGTATCAGTGGCAGATGGGGATGCGGCTTGGAGCCTTTGACAGGCCCCCATAGGTGAAACACAATGGAGGGCTCTAGGGTCTTGGGACAAGGCCCTGCCATCTTCTGCAGATAACTACTGTCCTTTTGAGAGACAACTCTTGGTCTGTTACTGGGCTTTGGTGGAAACTGAACATTTGACCATGGGTCATCAAGTCACCATGTGATCTGAACTGTCTATCATGAACTGGGTGCTTTCTGACCCATCTAGACATTAAGTGGGTCATGCACAGCAGCATTTCATCATCAAATGGAAGTGGTATATACATGATCGGGCTCAAGCAGGTCCTGAAGGCACAAGTAGGTTACATGAGGAAGTGGTTCAAACACCTATGGTCTCCACTCCTACCACCCTGCCTTCTTTCCTCCAGCCTGCACCAAGGGCTTCATGGGGAGTTCCCTATGATCAGTTGACAGAGGAAGAGAAGACTAGGGCCTGGTTCACAGATGGTTCCACATGATAAGCAGTCACCACCCAAAAGTGGACAGCTGCAGCACTACAGCCCTTGTCTAGGACATCCATGAAGGAAGGTGGTGAAGGGAAATCTTCCCAGTGGGAAGAACTAGAAGCAATGCACCTGGTTGTGCACTTTGCATGAAAGGAGAAATGGCCAGATATGCAATTATATACTCATTCATGGACTGTAGTCAATGGTTTGGCTGGATGGTCAGGGGCTTGGAAGAAGCATGATTGGAAAATTGGTGGTAAAGAAATTTGGGGAAGAGGTTTGTGGTTGGACCTCTCTGAATGGTCAAAATCTGTGAAGATATTTGTATCCCATGTGAGTGTTCACCAATGGGTGACCTCAGCAGAGGAGAATTGTAATAATCAAGTGGATAGGATAACCCATTCTGTGGACATCACTCATCCTCTTTCCCCAGCCACCCCTGTCATTGGCCAATGGGCCCATGAACAAAGTGGCCATGGTGGCAGGGATGGAGATTACACATGGGCTCAGCAACATGGACTTCCACTCACCAAAGCTGATCTGGCTCCAGCCACTGCTGAGTGCCCAATTTGCCAGCAGCAGAGACCAACACTGAGCCCTTGATATGACACCATTCCTCAGGGTGATCAGCGAGCTACCTGGTGGCAGGTTGATTATATTGGATCTCTTCCATCATGGAAAGGGCAGAGGTTTGTCCTCACTGGAAATAGACACTTACTCCGGATATGGGTCTGCCTATCCTGCACACAATGTTTCTGCCAAAACTACCATCCATGGACACACAGAATGCCTTATCCACCGTCATGGTATTCCACACAGCATTGCCTCTGACCGAGGCACTCACTATATGGCTAAAGAAGTGCAGCAGTGGGCTCATGCTCATGGAATTCTCTGGTCTTACCATGTTCCTCATCATCCTGAAGGAGCCGGACTGATGGAAGGGTGGAATGGCCTTTTGAAGTCAAAATTACAATGCCATTCTCCCGTGCTGGATGCTTCTTGCCCTCGAACATTGGACTCAAAGTTATTCAGTTTTGGAACTCGGACTGGCTCTCTTTACTCCTCAGCCTGCAGACAGTCTACTGTGGGACCTCGTGATCATGTGAGTTAATAATACTCAATAAACTTCCATATATATATATGATCATAATGGACTATATATATTGGATTATATGATTTTTATATATATTTTATATATATATATTATATATATGTGTGTGTGTGTATATATATATATATTTTTTTCATTAGTTCTGTCCTTCTAGAGAACCCTGACTAATACAGTACTCATCCAACTAAATCGCTCCCTTAAATGAGAGACCAGGTAAATACATCTAGATGGGCTCCAGGTAGTATCCAGTCTGCTGTGGGTTTTTGTTTGTTTGTTTTACTTTTCATTTATCTTACTTTAACTAAAGAGGGAAGAAGGAGTACTTACTTTTGGAAGTTTAAAGAAAACTATAAAAGTGGCCACTAGTGACCAATGAAATATTTTCCATAGGATGAAACTGAATGTACAAGAAACAGCAAGTGCCTGAACAATGTTCCCTTTAAATGTGTTAACAGACTGACAGAAGCCAGAAACATGTGTACCTACTCTGTCTGTGCTAAGAGGAAATGCTTATAAATAAAGATCATTGTTGAGAGAATGCACATATACAAATGGACTACACTCACATCAATGTTTCCGGGAAATCCTGTTAAGCCTACATTTAAATATACCCTGATTATGATCAGTGCTCACCACCTTGGTTCAAACCCACGAATTCACACCTAGGTTACATCAGTGTCCTTTCCTTTCATTCTTGACCCTCACACTGTTCTATCAAATCAGCACTTATATCCTTTTAAAATATAAATCAAACCAAAGCAAACTTCAGCTCAAATTTGGCAATCTCTCACTCAGTGTGAAAGCCTTGTAATGGCCTAAACATCCTTGCTGGATGTAGACATTTCTGTTTTGATTATTTATTTATGGCTGTGTAACAAATCACCCCCAATAGTTAATGAATGAAAACAGTGATCATTTTATTATTATACCTTATGTTTCTGGGGTTAATTTGGCTCAGCTTGGCAGTTCTCTCTCAGGTCCTCTCATGCATTCAGAGTCTGATGGTGGCTGGAAGGGACTCGAATCATCTGACAGGCCTTCTCAATTACAAGTCTGGCAATTGATGCTTGCAGCCAGTGGGCTGTTGGCCATACCCCCATACGTAGCCTCTCCGTATGGATTGCACTTCTCACAGCTTGGTGGCTGTGCTCCAAGAGTAAGCATCCCAAGGAACAGGAAGTAGAAGATGCCATTTTCTTAAAGTCTGACCTGGAAACTGGCACAGCCTCAAGTCAACCTTATGATACTCGTCAAGCAGTTGCTAGGCCTAGATTCAAGGGATGGGGTCTAAGCCTTCTTCCTCAATGGGAGGAGTGCCAAATAACTTGAGAGTTATGTTTTAAAACCACTGTAGCTGATCACTTCTCAGACCTCATTTCCCACTTCTTGCTCACTCATTTGCAGCCATACTTACCTCCTTGTTATTCTTTGAAAAGCCAGACATGCTTCTTCTTTCAGAACACTACTGTTCCCTCTAGGCCGATACATGAAAATGCTCCCTCCCGCAACATGCACATTGTCTGCATTCAATAGCGTTCCTGAAAGTTAAATCTAAAATTCCCCCCTGAAACTATGCTATTTATTCTACTAGGTTATTAGTTTTATAAGGAAACTTGATCTTATTCTTTCCTTGTTTCGCTTAATGGATCAAGTCATCACTAAATATAAAGTGAGTTCAAGAGTGAGGACACATTGATGTTTATAATGACTTATGGGTATGAAAACATCTTTAACTCATGAAAGAAATTGAATTATGTTTGGTATGGTGTAGTTAGTGAGGTAGGAGATGAACAGTTTATTTCTAACAAGATTTTCAATAATAGATACTGATATAAAGAGAGAATCTTGGTTAATTTAGGGTTAACCAGAAAACAACTTGAAATACCTCTTTGATTTCTTTTAGTTCAAGTTTCCACTGAAATAAACACATAAAGCTATTTTACGATAGATGGAAATTGCATCTTGTATTTATCTTATGCATACTTGAATATAATGTTCAAAGTTTTGTGCTGTAACATGATATAATAGTTTGTTCAAAGATACATTTTATTTTTGCTATCGTAGGAGCTGACACAAAAAAATTATAAATGGATGAACATTTTCAGGCTTTTAACAAGGTAATTGAGAAATGCATGCTTTCATGAAGAAGTATAAAATTCAGGAGGGTAATATATAATGTTACAAAAATGTCCTTTGATGAATGATGAAGGAGGAAGGGCTAAAACATAATTATCCTATGTCACTCCTCAAGTCCAATTAACCACTAAGTGCTATTTATTCATTCTCTTGTATCTGTCCTTTTCTCTCCACCTTAGCACCAGCACCTTGAATTATGCCATCATCATTTTGCAGTCCACTATGGTAACAATTTCCTAAATGGTTTCCAAGACTCCTGTCTTGCCCCCTTAAGTTCACTTTTCACATTGTCACTGGAGTAATATTTCTTAAAATAAATGTGAATCATACAGTGACACCTTTCCCTTCTTAAACTCCTTCAGTAGCTCTCCATTGGCTTGAGGGAAATATAAGTGTGGTGCAGTATCTGCTCATTATCTAGTTAGTTTCTCTACATGCATTCATTGGGGATAGTGGATACAGAAAATTATGAATAAGTCAGATAATTCCAGAAAAAGTAGCTGCAGTACCAAGACCAGGAAGGACTGATCACCGTAAATGGTCACACAAACAGCCAGATTGAAAGAAAGGGCCAACAGCAAGTTTACTGCACCACTGATCCTTGTCTTTACTGTACTATTGGGGTGAAGACACACTCC
The DNA here is from genome assembly GCF_000001405.40 of Homo sapiens. Taxonomy (NCBI): domain Eukaryota; kingdom Metazoa; phylum Chordata; class Mammalia; order Primates; family Hominidae; genus Homo; species Homo sapiens. The sequence goes on from NC_000004.12 coordinate 97,387,623, forward strand.
CTTTCTCTCAAGTTGGGATAAATGAATGTACCTCCTGTTATGCTGTCTCTGCCTTATTAACAGTAAAGAAGGCCAAAGACACATGGGGTCTCTGGCAAGTTCCTCTGGTTGCACTGGATTTAGTGTTTGTGGTTTGGGACCTAATAGCAAGAAACAATGGCTAGTAGTCAAATCTGAGGATTAATACTCACGGGCTCCTGGAAGACTTTCCTTACTTCCTCCTCTTTCCAAGACTAGGTGATGTGTTCTTCTTTGTGCCAGTGGGAGTCTGTGATTATTTCTGTAACAGCATGTGTCAACCTTTATTCTAAATTCTAGTTTATTATGTTCCTCCTCCACCTGTCTGTATGTTACTTAAGAACAACTGTAAGGACTTCACCTAGCACAGTTCCTGACACATACTGGACTCTGAATTAATAAAATGAATGAATTATTGAGATGTTGAATAATATCAGGATTGAGACTATCACTACAGTATAGTGTTATCTTCAAATCCCAGGGCTGCAGGGGCAAGTAGAGGACAAGACACTGCTGGATAAGAATGTCTCAGCTTACTTAGTAAGAACCTTGGTCCTAATATATATGTAAAACAGCTGTAAGTTAAAATATAGTGATCAGAGTTGACACCCTTGCATTATTTCTGATCTCAAAGGAGAGTGATGAATGTTTCATCATGTGTGATGTTGGCTGTAGGTTTTTCATAGATGCCCTAAGTTAGACTGAGAAAGTTTCTTTCTATTTCTCATTTTCTGAAAGTTCTTATTAAAATGAGTGCTGAATATTACCAAATGCATGTTCTGGTTCTATTGAGGTTATTTTATGATATTTTCTTCTTAATATGGTGAATTAAATCAGTCAAAATTTTAGTGTTCAACAAAGAGCATTTCTGAGATAAACTCTTATCATGATGCATTATTCTTCTCCTTTGTCATATGATTTGATTTGCTAACGTTTTGTTAAGAATTTTGTGTGTATGTTCATAGGTTTCAGATTTGTCTGTAGGTTTTTCATAGATGCCCTAAGTTAGACTGAGAAAGTTTCTTTCTATTTCTCATTTTCTGAAAGTTCTTATTAAAATGAGTGCTGAATATTACCAAATGCATGTTCTGGTTCTATTGAAGTTATTTTATGATATTTTCTTCTTAATATGGTGAATTAAATCAGTCAAAATTTTAGTGTTCAACAAAGAGCATTTCTGAGATAAACTCTTGTCATGATGCATTATTCTTCTCCTTTGTCATGTGATTTGATTTGCTAACGTTTTGTTAAGAATTTTGTGTGTATGTTCATAGGTTTCAGATTTTATAAGTCCTGTTAACATCATTTCAGGTTCACTGACTCTTTCCTTGTCTGTGCCCAGACTGCATCAACTGATCAAATAAATTCTTCAGGTTTTTTATCATATATTTTTATTTCTAATAATCCCATTTGTTTCTTTTCTATAGTTTTCATCTCTCTCCTGTTGTACCCCAATGTTGCTAACCTCTTCTTTAAAGCATTTAACATATTTCTCATAGTTATTTTAAAGCTCTTGTCTGAAAATTCCAACATCTAAGCCATCTCTGCATCAGACTTTATAACGGTTTCCCTTCTGAGGATGTATTAATTTTTTGATGTTTTATTTGTCTTAGAAGTTTGGATCACATGATAGTTATTGTGTGTTAAAAATACAAAATAGTATAATGCTAAATAAGTATTATTTAGCCCAGAAAAGTTTACATCTTGTGTTATTCTGTCCTCACACTGCTATAAAGAACTACCTGAGATTGGGCAAATTATGGAGAAAAGAAGTTTAATTGATTCACAGTTCCACAGGTTGTACAGGAAACATGTCTGGGAAGCCTCAGAAAACTCACAATCATGGTGGAAGGAAAAGGGGAGGCAAGCACCTTCTTCACATGGTGGCAGGAAAGAGAAAGCAAAGGGGAAGAGCTATACAGTTTCAAACAAGCAGATCTCATGATAATCCTATCATGAGAACAAGAAGGGGGAAGTCCAACCCCATGATTCAATCCCCTCCCATTAGGCCCCTCCTTCTACACATGGGGATTACAATTCAACCTGAGATTTGGGTGGGGACACAGCCAAACCATATCACATCTCTGTTCTGTCAGACTGCCAGATATGGGGGCCTAAGTTAATGTAATCTGTATTTCATTTTGTCTGAGCTTAGTTATACTTGTAATTAGATTTAGGTCACTACTGGCTTCAATTTCAGGGCAACATGATGGCCTTTCTCCAAGAAGAGGCTAGAAACGCATGACACTGTTTCTGAAAACAGCAATATGATTTGGGGATGGTCTTTGGAAGATGCAATACAATTTTAATAACCTTACTGTAGAATATATTTTTACTCTTTAAATGTATTTTTGGTGTTCTAAAAAATAAGTAAAAAACCTTTCAGTCAACTCTGTTAAATAAAATTAGTATGACTAAAGGATAAAATGTTATGATTACAGTAAGGTGGTGTGACGGCAGTGGGAAGATATTGATTTCTTAGACTGTTTTCTGCTTTGGCCCAAAGCAAAGTTCATAGCAGATTTCAAGCAATGGCAATCTCTTTGGACTAGGTTACTACCCAAGGCAATTACTTTGAAAGGGCAACGTGTCTGAATTAGTAATTTTTTCTCATCTAGTGCTTCTCAAAAGTTAATGTGCATACAAATCACCTGGGAATTTTATTAAACTATAGTTTCTAATTCAGTATGTCTGAGGTAAGGCCTGAAATTTAGCATTGCTACTAAGCTCCCAAGTGATGCCAACCCTTGGATTACACCTTGATGTGCAATGGGTTAGTCTCCTGGCCCTAATATCATAATTCCTGACTCCCTACTATGGTAGCTAGCTTACAAGATGGCCCCTTTGATTCATACCTGACGGCATTGTACACAGACCAATACTGTATCTGGATTGGTCCGTGTGATCAATTAGATATGGCAGAAGTGATGGTATGTCAATTCCAAGATTAAGTTACCTAAGACACTTTGGCTTCTGTCTTGGTTGATCTCTATTTTCTACTCTCTCACTCACTCTGGTGGCACTAACTGCCACATTGGGAACATTCCTATGGAAAGTCTTACATGACAAGGAACTGAGGCCCAAAGCCAACAGACAGTGAGAAACTAAATGAGATCAGAAGTGGATCTTCCAGCCCTTTTCAAACCATCAGCTGAATGTATCCCCAGATGGTAACTTGCTACAACCTTGTGAAAGATTCAGAGCTAGAATTCTAGATTCTAAGCTACTAAAATTCTAGATTCCTGATCCTCAGAAACTCATAACAATAATAATAACCAATAATAAAGCTTTATTGTTTTAATTTGGTTGGATAGTTTCTTATGAAGAAATAGGTAACAACCAGTGCAGGTTGCTTAACTTCTCTATGTTAAACTCAATAATGTCTGTAGGTTTTAGAACAAGTAGATCACTGCTTTTCAGTTGGATGCTATATAGGGTTGAATTGTGTTACTTCCCTCCCCTAGCCCCTCAAATGGTGGGCCCTAAATTCAATAACTGTTGTCCTTATAAGGAGACACAGAGACATAGACACACAGGAAAGAATCCCATGTGACAACAAAGGCTAAGAATAAAGTGTTGCAGCTGAAAGCCAAAGAATACAAAGGATGGCCAGCAATCACCAGAAGGCAGAAAGAGGAAAAGAAAGAAAGAGCCTTGAGAGGAACAATGGCTCTGTCAACATCTTGATTTTGGACTTCTCATCTCCAAAACTGTGAGAGAATACATTTCTGTTTTATTAACCCATTCAGTTTGTGGTAATTTGTCATGGTGGCTCTAGGAAATGAATACAGGTGCCCATAAGAATGACCTGTAAAACATCTAAAAATATACACGCCAAGATTATCTTGAAGACACTATGAATAACAATCTCAAACGTGGGGCTCAGGTATATGCATTTTTAACTCTAAAGCTTATGATACATAGTCAAGCTTGAGAACCTCTGAACTAGATGATTTTGTAGTCCTAAATCTAAAAGTCAATGGCTTCAAGTCCTAGTAAAATATTTTTAAGTGTGTTAATTTATAAGCCTACCTTGATTATTCATGCAAGTGCATGAAAGACATTTGTAATTATTTGCATGGATATATGCATAAACCTAATGAACTGTTTTGCACATTGACATTCTAGGTGTTGAGCTGTTCACATTAAGTTGTTTGTTTTGGAGTTAATATCAGTTTTAGAGACAACTACATTTAGATGTTTAAAGATTTATAATTATCCCAAACAAGAACAACATATGGTTTTGCTCCTATAAGTGCTTCACAAAGAATAACTGCTTGTATTCTCATGCATTTTTGGATTGTGTAATAAAGTGGAAAATTATCAGGATCTGGCTCTCCAGTTTTGACTAAAATAATTACTGAAGAAATTGAACAGATGCTGGGTATAAATAAATTTTATAAACTCAGATATTTTGGGGTTTTCTGTGCACTCTGGGCACACTTGTGGTGATATATTTATGATGGCCGCAGTGAAACAATTAGTTTGTACTTTTCCAGGTCACTGCAGTGAGGTGAATCTTTCACCTCGAAAATACCATAGCAATGTAGAGTCTGAATGTCATCGTTTTTATCTGGCTGTAGGAGGGAAAAGAAACTCTTATTCCTGTACAAGCAGAGGCTCCAGTCAAAAATTACTTCTAAAATAATGCTGTGATTCTTTTCTGTTCTCTACTGGCAGTACCCAAAGCACAGGAAGCAAAATTTCCCTACTGAAAATAGAGATTCTAAAATTCGTTCCTATGAGTTTTGAGAGAAGAGTTGCTACCAATAGGATACGACCTCACAAATCTCAATACACACAGTTGGTGAGAAAGGTTGCCACTTCTACATCATCATGTTTATCAAAGTGGACTAAGCCAATCATTCCCAGCCATTACTGGGAAATTAAATTTACAACTGCTATCAATGCCACACTCAGAGTTATTAAGGTAAAATAAGATGAGTGGCCACCAAAATGGAGAGAAGTATAAGATTATGTTTTCAAACATCAGACACTTACCAGAGGGCAATTCTGGATGTATGATGATAACTGCATATTTAGGCAAAAGGAGTGGGCATGCAGTAGAAGCTGTGATTCACATGTGGGCTTCAGTCAAGGCCATCAAAGAGCATCAAGGGAACAAGATACAGGAGAAGGAAGATAATTAGAACTTATTCTTAACATTCCTTAATTGCCAAAACTTTATCAGTAGCAGATGGTAGGTGAGCAGGAAATTTGGGAAATAACTACCTTTTTGACATTATCTCCAATTAAGAAGTCTTTCTCAGCTATCAAGACAAACTTTGAAATTATTGTATGTTCCCAGGTCGATATTAACTTGGAAAGTTTAATGAAATCTGTTTTCCTTCTGTCTATCATTTACTCTTACTATTTCCATCTGGTCTAAGGTGAAAAGATGAACTTTTCAATGATTCTATTCCAGGCTGCATACTCAGAGGCCCTCAGTGACTCATAAGTGTTACTTCTCATTGGATAACTTTTAGGGGAGAACTATCCTAACTGTACCATTAAAACAGACCTGCGAGAATGAAAATGGGTTCCAATATGTCAGACGGCCATTATGTCACAGCAAGGGAATTTGATACAAAACAACAATGACACAAAACATTGCTACTTAGCATTCAGCATGAATGCACTACTCTTTGGAAGAAGGAAATCATCCGAGGCAAATGCAAGAGCAGTGTAGAACAGTTGAAGATTTTGTATATCTCTTCACAACTCACATACTCAGCAGGATCTATGCAAGACAATTATTGCTCTGCCAAAAGAGATTAAATATGTCTGATATGTGCATTTGACAAATGTGTCCAGAAAAAAATGACCTCACAGAACTTGATCACTTTTGACAACTTCTGTTTATATAGAACATTTGTCACTTACTCTATGGCAGTGATTCTCAAAATGTGGCCCACAAACAAGCAGCATCAGCATCACCTGGGAAGTTATTAGAAATTCAGATTCTAGCCCCACCACAGATCCAGTGAATCAGAAATGTTAGGGGTGGGTCTCAGAAATCCATGTTTTAACAAGCCCTCCAGTATTTCTTTTTGTTTGGTTTTGTTTTTGAGATGGAGTCTCTCTCTGTCACCTAGGCTGGAGTGCAGTGGCTCGATCTCGGCTCACTGCAACCTCCGCCTCCTGGATTCACGTGATTCTCCTGCCTCAGCCTCCTGAGTAGCTGGGATTATAGGCTCCTGCCATCACACCTGGCTAATTTTGTATTTTCAGTAGAAACGAGGTTTCACCATGTTTGCCAGGGTGGTGTCGAACTCTTGACCTCAAGTGATCTGCCCACCTTGGCCTCCCAAGGAGCTGGGATTCAGCTGTGAGCCACCACACCTGGCCTAAGCTGTCTAGTATATCTGATGCAAACTAATGATTTAAGCTGTGATACTAGGAATAGACGCCAGTTACTGGATAATGCCAAGCACTATACTAAGTGCTTTATTAGCATTAGGTCAGTTAAACATCATGATAACCTCGCAAAATATATTCTTTCATTACCCCCATTGCAGAGGTAAAGAATCAGAGGCTTATCAATGAAAAGTAACTTGGCTACAGTCTCAAAGCTAACACATGGAAACTAGAGTTTCTAACTACATTCTGATTAGTCTAATGCTCATACTTTTAGCTTCTGAAGAATACCTAACCAGAAAAAGACAAGAAAAGAACTTCCCTAATTTTGTGCATAGATATACTGTAGGGACTATAGAAAAGTCAGCTGAAGGCCCAACACAAAGAAGGCTACATACAATTTTTCTGGAAGTCAGCAATTGACCCAATGCTTAGAAAAATGACCACTCTTAAAGAAATAAAAGCTTCTATACTATGAAATAAAATAGCTGTACCATTTAAAAATGTAATGTAATAAGTGTTTTCCAAAATCTCAGTTAAGAAGCAACTAATCTAAAACACATTTTATCAGCTAACATCTTGGAAATTGTGGCCACTAGCTCGGGCATTCTGTCTTCATTCCATCTAATGACCATATTAAGGTTATATGTAGTCTAGCTTCCCTCAGGACCATCTTTTAACACATTTTATTTCTGTGCTAAACATTCAGTTAAAAAAAAAAGAGTGAATGACGGCCATGCCATGTAAAAACCACTTTGGCATTTCTTTTATGGATTTGTGTCAAGAAAATGTTGAAAAGATTATTCAATGTTCCTCTAAGGACCCACATTAAACAAGACTTTAGTATTACTTTTCCATAATGGTGATTCATGATGAGTCATTAGATTGGCAAGATTTTAGTGACTCTTCCAGAAAACATTGTTTTGCTGTCCAGTAGGTGTGCAAGTACTAGACTGCACCTAGTTATGCTTGTGTCTCCATTGAACATCCTCTCAGAACCTTTAGCATGCTAATGTGTTTGTGAATGTCCAAGGGAGTCATAACATGGATAAAGTTTCCTAAATTTTTTGAACTATGGAATCTCTTTTTGGAGGATCACTGTGAAAGACCAGGGTTCATGGGTTAAGTGCTAGAACATATTTTTATGACTAAATATCAAGATTTCCTGAGCTATCAGTATGCTCCATTTTTGTCCTATAGTCTAGAACTCAGAATCAAGTCAAGTGTTCAGTTGTGCAAACAGCATAGTTTAGAGAAAAACTAATTACTTCCAAAACATGTCTACCTGGACTCAAATCCCGGTTCTGCCATTTGTTAATTGTGTGACTATAGCAAGACACTCAAACTCTCTTTGCCTCAGTTCTCTCATCTGGGAAAAAAGATTTTAAAATAAGAGCAGATTTTTAGGGTTGTGTTGATGATTAAAAACTGCAAAGTGTTTAGAAGAGTATCTGGCCCACAGTAAATTCTACATAAATATTTGTTAACTAGCAATTAAACTAACTATCATGGCTAATATTGTTGCTCTCTCCTGCACGTCAGCATCTATTTCTGTTTTTTCAATTTAATGTACGTGAGTCATTTGTGGACGGCATACTTTTTTAGAACTATACAAATGATGGCATGAGGACAATATAAATGATAGCATGAGGACTATATAAATGATAGCATGAGGACATGATTTCAAATAAAGCAGGTGGGATAACAAGGAGCATTCAAAACAAACTTTATCAGTCAGTGTTCCTGAAAACAGTTCAGGAAAATAAGAGATCTGTCAGTTTAACATGAACATAGTTGATGGAGTCCTTTCAGTGGATCTGGCTGGTCATTGGTAGGTGCCAGCTTTGTGACACCCCACCACACTCAGTATCATCTAACTCCATTTGCTCTGACCTTAAACAAATTTATGACATCAAACTGATTTCCCAAGAACACTTTCCTATGGAGATAATGACCTATTGTGAATATATGTTTTCCTCTTAACAGTTTATTGGTGTATGTACTTTTCTGATTGGGGGTAGCATAAATTAATTTACTGGATTAATTGATAGAAACATGCATGTTTTTATACAGGCAAAAGTGAAAGGATGCAGAGAAGAATGCAGAGGAAGCTGAAATAGCAATTACAATGTCCACAACCGGGTGATGTGGTCTTGATTACACTAGTGAGTCGGCCCTGCTTTCATTCCTAGGACTGGCACAGACTCTTGACGGCAGGGGGTTGTGCTTTACAAGTAGATCTGGTGATGAAGGCATTATTTGAAGAAATGGAGAAAACCTGATGAGAGTACAGTTGTGAGACAATAATTAAATCAAGATGGAGACCAGGTTCAGAACCTGCCACTGTTAATGAAGATTTATTCACCAGTGACATTTGATCAGATCTACTGGGTGGATTCTTAGAATTCATTAGTTAAAGACATAAAGTGGTCTCTCTGATTAAAGAGGGGAAAAACAGTAGGGAGCACCCATAAATTACTATAGCTCAATTAGGTGCAGACAGTTTAGTGACTGTTTATTACTAGTACAAAGGAAGATTTTCCAATTAGATTAAAAGGTTTTGAAAACAAAAGTTATAGGCACAGTGATTTAGGCCGATTGCTAGAATAATGCATTGTGAGAAACTTTATTGATTAAAAAGTAAACCAGTAAGTTATTTGTAGTGTTCGTTGTTTATCAGTAGAATCCTTGCTGTGAGGTACAATTTTCTTCACAAGATCAATGGGAGAACTGGGCTAATTTCTCCTTGCCCTGAAAATTGATAAGCATATAAAGGGCAGCTATATCACTGCTGAAAAGACCAGCATGATTTATTCAGGTTAATCATCAAGAAAGTGACACTGCATAAATCACTGGGGATGTACCCTGCCAGGCTGGGCCCTTCAAGCTGGCTTCACTGTCATAAGTTGGGCCAAAAAGAAACAAAAAGAAACCTAGGATTTAATAAGACAAAGCCTTTAGCTTGCTAAGCTGCCATGAACTATTGCAAAACCTGGAAATGGCAAGAAATCAAAGGGAAGTTGCACAGATGCCTTCTCTGGTAGTGAACACTAGAAGTTACAAGAATAGTTTGGTGGAATGAAGCCTAAGATGCTAGCTGGTAGCTCATGTGTCTCTTTGTTTGAAAGTGTCCATATGAATTCTAGGAGTGCTGAATATGCTGGAAATTGCTTTGCTTGGCCAGAGTAGGCATTGGAGTAGGCATTTCATTGGCCTCAATTTACTGCTTTCTCACTACCTGTGATTAAATATGAAATAAGGAAAGAAAAGCAAAGAACTGATAGTTAAGTATCTGAATTCTTCAAATGCAGGAGCTGCTAATGTATGCTACATTATATTGCAACACATATTACAAAATTCTGCATAAAGAATGGGATAAACAAATTTTTTACCCTTAAAACTTTTTTTTATTATTATTATACTTTAAATTCTGGGGTACATGTGCAGAACGTGCAGGTTTGTTACACAGGTATATACGTGCCATGGTGATTTGCTGCACCCATCAACCCATCATCTACATTAGGTATTTCTGCTAATGCTATCCCTGCCCTAGCACCCCCAACCCCTGAAAGGTCCTGGTGTGTGATGTTCCCCTCCCTGTGTCCATGTGTTCTCATTGTTCAACTCCCAATTATGAGTGAGAACATGCAGTATCTAGTTTTCTGTTCTTGTGTTCGTTTGCTGAGAATAATGGCTTCCAGCTATATCCATGTCCCTGCAAAGGACAGGAACTCATCCTTTTTTACAGCTGCATAGTATTTCATGGTGTATATCCAGTCTATCATTGATGGGCATTTGGGTTGGTTCCAAGTCTTTGCTATTGTGAACAGTGCTGCAATAAACATACATGTGCATGTGCCCTTATTGTAAAATGATTTATAATCCTTCGGGTATATAATCAGTAATGGGATTGCTGGGTCAAATGGTATTTCTAGTTCTAGATCTTTGAGGAATCACCACACTGTCTTCCACAAAGGTTGAACTAATTTACATTCCCACCAACAGTGTAAAAGTGTTCCAATTTCTTCACATCCTCTCCAGCATGTGTTGTTTCCTGACATTTTAATGATCGCCATTCTAACTGGTGTGAGATGGTATCTGATTGCGGTTTTCATTTGCATTTATCTAATGACCAGTGATGATGAGCTTTTATTCATATGTTTGTTGGGCACATAAATGTCTTCTTTTGAGAAGTGTCTCTTTATACCCTTTGCTCACTTTTTGAGGGGGTTGTTTTATTCTTATACATTTGTTTAAGTTCTTTGTAGATTCTGGATATTAGCCCTTTGTCAGATGGACAGATTGCAAACTTTTTCTCCCATTCTGTAGGTTGCCTGTTCACTTTATCAATTTTAGCTTTTGTTGCCATTGCTTTTTGTGTTTTAGTCATGAAGTCTTTGCCCATGCCTATGTCCTGAATGGTATTGCCTAGGTCTTCTTCTAGGGTTTTTATGGTTTGAGGACTTACATTTAAGTCTTTAATCCATCTTGGGTTAATTTTTCCATAAGGTGTATGGAAGGGATCAAGTTTCAGCTTTCTGCATATGGCTAGCCAGTGTTCCCAACACCATTTATTAAATACGGAATTCTTTCACCATTGCTTGTTTTTGTCAGGTTTGTCAAAGTTCAGGTAGTTGTAGATGTGTGGCATTATTTCTGGTCTATATATCTGTTTTGGTACCAGTACAATGCTGTTTTTGTTACTGTAGCCTTGTAATATAGTTTGAAGTCAGGTAGCATGATGCCTCCAGCTTTGTTCTTTTTGCTTAGGATTGTCTTGGCTATGCATGCTCTTTTTTGGTTCCATACAAAATTTAAAGTAGTTTTTTTTCCAATTCGGTGAAGAAAGTCAAGGGTAGTTTGATGGGATAGCATTGAATCTATAAATTACTTTGGGCAGTATGGCCATTTTCAGGATATTGATTCTTCCTATCCATGAGCATAGAATGTCTTCGATTTGTTTGTGGCCTCTCTTATTTCCTTGAGCAGTGGTTTGTAGTTCTCTTGAAGAGGTCCTACACATCCCTTGTAAGTTGTATTGCTAGCTATTTTATTCTCTTTGTAGCAATTGTGAATGGGAGTTCACTCATGATTTGGCTCTCTGTTTTCAGTTATTGGGTGTATAGGAATGCTGGTGATTTTTGCACATTGATTTTGTATCCTGAGGCTTTGTTGAAGTTGCTCATCAGCTTAAGGAGATTTTGGGCTCTGATGATGGGGTTTTCTAAATATACAATCACATCATCTGCAAACAGAGACAATTTGACTTCCTCTTTTCCTAACTGAATATCCTATCTTTCTTCCTCTTGGCTGATTGCCCTGGCCAGAACTTCCAATACTATGTTGAACAGGAGTGGTGAGAGAGGGCATCCTTGCTTTGTGCAGGTTTTCAAAGGGAATGCTTCCAGTTTTTGCCCATTCAGCACGATATTGGCTGTGGGTTGGTCACAAAGAGCTTTTATAATTTTGAGATATGCTCCATCAATACCTAGTTTATTGAGAGCATTTAGCATGAAGTGCTGTTGAATTTTATCAAAGGCCTTTTCTGCATCTATTGAGATAATCATGTGGTTTTTGTCATTGGTTCTGTTTATGTGATGGATACGTTTATTGATTTGCTCATGTTGAACCAGCCTTATATCCCAGGGATGAAGCTGACTTGATCCTGGTGGATAAGCTTTTTGATGTGCTGCTGGATTTGGTTTGTCAGTATTTTATTCAGGATATTCTCATGGATGTTTAGCAGGGATACTGGCCTGAAATTTTCTTTTTTTGTTGTGTCTCTGCCAGGTTTTGGTACCAGGATGATGTTGGCTTCATAAAATGAGTTAGGGAGGATTCCCTGTTTTTCTATTGTTTGGAATAGTTTCAGAAGGAATGGTACCAGCTCCTCTTTGTACATCTGGTAGAATTCAGCTGTGAATCCATCTGGTCCTGGACTTTTTTTGGTTGGTAGTCTATTAATTGCTACCTCAATTTCAGAACTTGTTATTGGTCTATTCAGGGATTTGTCTTCTTCCTAGTTTAGTCTTGGGAGGGTGTATGTGCCCAGGAATTTATCCATTTCTTCTAGATTTTCAGTTTATTTGCATAGAGGTGTTTATAGTATTCTCTAATAGTAGTTTGTATTTCTGAGGGATCGGTGGTGACATCCCCTTTATCATTTTTTATTGCATCGATTTGAATCTTCTCTCTTTTCTTCTTTATTAGTCTGGCTAGTGGTTTATCTATTTTGTTGATCTTTCAAAAAATCAGTTCCTGGATTCGTTGATTTTTTGAAGGGTTTTTTTGTGCCTCTATCTCCTTCAGTTCTGCTCTGATCTTAGTTATCTCTTGTCTTCTGACAGTTTTTGAATTTGTTTGCTCTTGCTTCTCTAGTTCTTTTAATTGTGATGGTAGGGTGTCGATTTTAGATCTTTCCTGCTTTCTCTTGTGGGCATTTAGTGCTATAAATTTCCCTCTACACACTGCTTTAAATGTGTCCCAGAGATTCTGGCACGTTGTGTCTTTGTTTTCATTGGTTTCAAAGGATATCTTTATTTCTGCCTTCATTTCATTATTTACCCAGTAGTCATTCAGGAGCGGGTTGTTCAGTTTCCATGTAGTTGTGTGGTTTTGAGTGAGTTTCTTAATCCTGATTTCTAATTTGATTGCACTGTGGTCTGACAGGCTGTTTGTTATTACTTCCATTCTTTTGCATTTGCTAAGGAGTATTTTACTTCCAATTATGTGGTCAGTTTTAGAATAAGTGTGATGTGGTGCTGAGAAGAACATATATTCTGTTGATTTGTGGTGGGGAGTTCTGTAGATGTCTACTAGTTCCACTTGGTCCAGAGCTGAGTTCAAACCCTGGATGTCCTTGTTAATTTTCTGTCTCATTGATCTGTCTAATATTGACAGTGGGGTGTTAAATTTTCCCACTATTATTGTGTGGGAGTCTAAGTCTCTTTGTAGGTCTCTAAGAACTTGCTTTATGAATCTGGGTGCTCCTATATTGGGTGCATATATATTTAGGATAGTTGGCTCTTCTTGTTGCATTGATCCCTTTACCATTATGTAATGCCCTTGTCTCTTTTGATCTTTGTTGGTTTAAAGTCCGTTTTATCAGAGACTAGGAATGCAACCACTGCTTTTGTTTTTTTTGTTTTGTTTTGTTTTGTTTTGTTTTTGTTGTTGTTGTTGTTTTTGCTTTCCATTTGCTTGGTAAATATTCCTCCATCCCTTTATTTTGAGCCTATGTGTCTCTGCACCTGAGATGGGTCTCCTGAATACAGCATACCAGTGGGTCTTGACTCTTTACCCAATTTGCCAGTCTGTGTCTTTTAATTGGGGCACTCCATCCATTTACATTTAAGGTTAATATTGTTATGTGTGAATTTGATCCTGTCATTATGATGTTAGCTGGTTATTTTGCTCATTAGTTGATGCAGTTTCTTCCTAGCATTGATGGTCTTTGCAATTTGGCATGTTTTTGCAGTGGCTGGTACCAGTTGTTCCTTTCTATGTACAGTGCTTCCTTCAGGAGCTCTTGTAAGGCAGGCCTGGTGGTGACAAAATCTCTCAGCATTTGCTTGTCTGTAAAGGATTTTATTTCTCCTTCACTTATGAAGCTTAGTTTGGCTGGATATGAACTTCTGGGTTGAAAATTCTTTTCTTTAAGAATGTTTAATATTGGCCCCCATTCACTTCTGGCTTGTAGGATTTCTGCAGATAGATCTGCTGTTAGTCTGATGGGCTTCCCTTTGTGGGTAACCCAACCTTTCTCTCTGGCTGCCCTTAACATTTTTTTCCTTCATTTCAACCTTAGTGAATCTGATGATTATGTATCTTGGGGTTGCTCTTCTGGAGGAGTAGCTTTGTTGTGGTCTCTGTATTTCCTGAATTTGAATGTTGGCCTGCCTTGCTAGGTTGGAGAAGTTCTCCTTGATAACATCCTGAAGAGTGTTTTCCAACTGGGTTCCATTCTCCCCGTCACTTTCAGGTACACCAATGAAACGTAGATTTGGACTTTTCAAGTAGTCCCATATTTCTTGGAGGCTTTGTTCATTTCTTTTCACTCTTTTTTCTCTAATCTTGTCTTCTCACTTTGTTTCATTGAGTTGATCTTCAATCTCTGATATCCTTTCTTCTGCTTGATCGATTCAGCTATTGATACTTGTGTATGCTTCATGAAGTTCTTGTGCTGCGTTTTTCAGCTCCAGCAAGTCGGTTATGTTCTTCTCTAAACTGGTTATTCTAGTTAGCAATTCCTCTAACCTTTTTTCAAGGTTCTTAGCTTTCTTGCATTGGATTAGAACATGCTCCTTTACCTCAGAGTAGTTTGTTATTACCCACCTTCTGAAGCCTACTTCTGTCTATTTGTCAAACTCATTCTCTATCTAGTTTTGTTCCCTTTCTGGCGAGAAGTTGTGATCCTTTGAAGGAGAGGAGGCATTCTGGTTTTTGGACTTTTCAGCCTTTTTGTGCTGGTTTCTCCCACCTTCGTGGATTTATCTACCTTTGGTCTTTGAAGTCGCTGACCTTCAGAGGGGGTCTCTGAGTGGCCATCCTTTTTCTTGATGTTGATACTATTCCTTTCTGTTTGTTAGTTTTCCTTCTAACCATCAGGCCCCTCTGCTGCAGGTCTGCTGGAGTTTGCTGGAGGTCCACTCCAGACCCTGTTTGCCTGGGTATCACTGGTGGAGGCTGCAGAACAGCAAAGATTGCTGCCTGTTACTTCCTCTGGAAGTTTTGTCCCAGAGGGGCACCTGACAGATGCCAGCCAGAGCTCTCCTGTATGAGATGTCTGTTGGCCCCTACTGGGAGGTGTCTCCCCGTCAGGATACGAGGGGGTCAGGGACCCACTTGAGGAGGCAGTCTGTCCATTATCAGAACTTGAACACTTGCTGGGAGATCTACTGCTCTCTTCAGAGCTTCCAGGCAGGGACGTTTAAGTCTGCTGAAGCTGTGCCCACAACCACCCCTTCCCCCAGTTGCTCTATCCCAGGGAGGTGCAGGTTTTATCTCTAAGTCCCTAACTGGGGCTGCTGCCTTTCTTTCAGAGATGTCCTGCCCAGACAGGAGGGAACCTATCTAGAGAGGCAGTCTGGCCACAGTGGCCTTGCTGAGTTGCGGTGGGCTCTGCCCAGTTAGAACTTCCTGGGGGCTTTGTTTACACTGTGAGGGTAAAACCGCCTACCCAAGCCTCAACAATGGCAGACGCCCTTCCCCCCACCAAGCTTGAGCATCCCAGGTAGAGCTCAGACTGCTGTGCTCGCAGCAAGAATTTCAAGCCAGTGGATCTTAGCTTGCTGGGCTCTGTGGGGGTGGGATGCACTGAGCCAGACCACTTGGCTCCCAAGCTTCAGCCCCCTTTCCAGGGGAGTAAGCAGTTCTGTCTCTCTGGCATTCCTGGTGCCACTGAGGTATGAAAAAAAAAAAACTCCTGCAGCTAGCTCAGTGTCTGCCCAAATGGCTGCCCAGTTTTGTGCTGGAAACCCAGGGCCCTGGTGGCATAGGCACTGGAGGGAATCTCCTGGTCTGTGGGTTGAGAAGACCATGGGAAAAGTGCAGTATCTGTTCTGGAGTGCATGGTACAGTCCCTAATGGCTTCTCTTGGCTAATAGAGGGAATTCCCAGACCCCTTGCACTTCCCGGATGAGGCAACGCCGCACGCTGCTTGAGCTCGCTCTCCTTGGGCTACATCCACTGTCTACCCAGTCCTAGTGAGATGAACCGGGTACCTCAGTTGGAAATGCAGAAATCACCTGCCTTCTGCATCGATCTCACTTGGAGCTGCAGGCCACAGCTGTTCCTATTTGGCCATCTTGCCAGCAATGACCAAAAACTCTTGGTCTTTAAAAAGTAGTTTAGAGAGGCTGGACACGGTGGCTCACACCTGTAATCCCAGCACTTTGGGAGGCCAAGGCAGGCAGATTACCTGAGGTCAGGAGTTCGAGACCAGCCTGGCCAACATGGTGAAACCTCTTCTTTACTAAAAATACAAAAATTAGCTCAGCGTGGTGGCACACGCCTGTAATCCCAGCTACTCAGTTGTCTGAGGCAGGAGAATTGCTTGAGCCTGGGAAGCGGAGGTTGCAGTGAGCCGAGATTGTGCCATTGCACTCCAGCCTGGCCGACAGAGCAAGATTCTGTCTCAAAAAAAAAAAAAAGTAGTTTAGAGAAAAACAATATTCCTTTTTCATTCCCTTATTGAAGAGTCTCCTAAATGTGTTCTTCTGATAGACTTGCCCTTTATTGGTTCTATTCTTTTGCTTTCACTTTTTGTAACTTTGACTTTCCTAACTGATATTTTGAAGCAGGAAACAGCAGTTTGAAACATCCAAAGGGCAGAATAAGACAACAAACTAGCACTCCATCTGTTGTGACATTTAGTATTTGCTTTTTCTGAGAAACTGCTTAGTGAATCAATTTCATATTAGCATTAAGAAATTAAGATCTTAGTTCACATTACACACACACACACACACACACACACACACACACACACACACACATTTCCCCTGAAACTGGAATCAGGCTGCCTGATTTGAATACCTGAACTGCTCTTCCTAGCTGCATGTGTGAAACACTGGACTAGTTTCTTAATCTCTGATCTGCAGTTGGCTTGTTTATAAAATTAAGATAATAGTCTCTCACATACATGATTGTTAAAAGGAATAATTGAGAGAATATATCTGAAGTGGTCCACATGATACCTGGTATATAGAAAGTGTTCAATACGTGTTCATTTTCTTATTTGTATTATATTTTATGTTTTTCTATAACTATATTAATTAACTTATTGATGCAATATAACCATTTTCTTATCTTTCACATAACATCTAAAATTTTCATCATTAAACTAATTCTGACTATATTTTTTTCTATGTAGAAGAGGAAAACATGTATAGAAATGGAGAATTCACTTCTCATTCCTTCTAAAATGAATGCTCTTAAGAGAAAAGATGTAATGCTCCTCCAACCTGGCCCAGATACTTGGGGGTTCAGAGGTTAGAACCATCTCAAATAAAAGTCTTGAAGACACGCCTGAGGAATCAGCATTCTTCAGAGGATGAGTCAGGGTAACCAGATGCACTAAGTGTACTTTGCACTAACTAAACAATCCTTGAGGCAGACAGAAATCAGTGATCAGTAAAAGACATTAGTTAAGCTACTAGCCTGAATTGCTTGTATGTGAATGGAAGAAAGGAAAAAAGAAAAAGCTCTAAATAGAAGTCAGCAGAAGATTGAGAGCCAAAGACTCTAACTAGCGATCAGAGAAAAGGACCGTTATTCATGTACTAAGTACATGAACAAGGTGCTAAGTGAATGATTGTTTCTCCCTTGTAAACCGTAAGAAAACACTGAGAACTCTATTACTGGCTTCCTGAAAGATTTTATGATATGGTTAAGTTGGATGTCCTACTGAGCATTTGGACTTAACACATTTTTTGGTCTTGCTGGTAGTCATGTTTCAGGGAAATAAATCCCTTGCAGAAAATAGGTCTAAAGCGCTTCTACTAATAACTTCTTCTACCTTAAAATGGAGATATTTTGAGCTTATACAATTTAAAAAGTGTATTGATTTCATTTCTTATTACAGGTAATCACTATTTAGGTGTTCAAACAACCCATCTAGGACCCATTTAGGTTACAAAAGACCCATCTAGGACATATTTATTGAGATTTACTGTTTCGGAGAGAATGCCAAATTGATACCAACTCTTCAGATGTCTGTCCTAACAATTTTTAGTTCTAAGAACACAAAATGGCTATGGACAATCAATTGTGGCATTTGAAACTGATTTGGTTCCCTTTCCAGCATCTATCTTGAAATAAAACAAGTAGCCTCATACTGAAAATCACTAGCAATCTGAACAATCAACTTTGCAACTACCAGTTACATTCTGTCATGGAGTCCGGTCCATGATGCCTTTGAAATAACATGAGTATCTATTCATTTGTTCATATGTACAACCTTCATTTTCATTCTGTGTCATTATTTCTTCTACTCTAAACTGCAGAGATTGTCTTCTAAATGGCTCCATTGCTTTTTTTTCTTTTTATTCAAAACTGTGATCCTAAAATCTTGTATAAGCTACCACTTCCTGAGCATCTACTATATCCTGCATATTCTGTGTCATCCTGAAAGCTTGATACAGAGAACTGAATCTAATCCTCACAGTAATTCTGGGAATTAGACGACGATAATGTAGATTGGTTCCTTCAAAGTTTATTCTAACTTTTTCCC